>NC_000022.11:32497442-32648957 GCF_000001405.40 Homo sapiens
TCCAAGTTGCTGCAAAAGACATTATTTCATTCCTTTTTATGGCTGAGTAGTATTCCATGGTGTATATATGCCACATTTTCTTTATCAGTGGTTTCTTGGAATGGAATCTATTCCTGGACAACAAAGGATTTCGAATATTACATAAATTTAGTTGACAAAACAGAAGCAAGGTTTGAGAAGGTTGACTCTGATTTTGAAAGTTTTACTGTGGGTAAAATGCCATCAAACAGCATCGCATGTACAGAGAAATCTTTCATGAAAGGAAGAGTGAGTCAATGTGACAAACTTCACTGTTGTATTATTTTAAGAAATTGCCACAGCCACTTCAGCCTTTAGCAACCAGCACCCTGATCTGTCAGCAGCAACGAACATGGAGGCAAGACCCTCTATTAGCAAAAAGATTGCAACTTGCTAAAGGCTCAGGTGATTGTTAGCATATTTTTAAATTAAGGTATGTACATTGTCTTTTTAGATACAATGCTATTGCACACTTACTATAGTGTAAACATAGCATAGCATTTATATACACTGGGAAACCAAAAAAATTTGTGTGACTTGGTTTATTGCATTGGTTTGGGACTAAATCCACAATATGTCTGAGGTGTGCCTATAGATCTTTACTATGAAAGCAAATTAGAACTAAAGGGAAACATCCAGATCACTTACCTTATCTTGTTCTTTTATTTTTCTTTTTTCTACAGCTGTACAGGAAGAGGCACATACAAAGAAAAGAATCCCCGAAAGGGCGGTTTGTGATGCTCCTGCCATCGTCAACTCACACCATTCCATTCTATCCCAACCCCTTGCACCCTAGGCCATTTCCTAGCTCCCGCCTTCCTCCAGGAATTATCGGGGGTGAATATGACCAAAGACCAACACTTCCCTATGTTGGAGACCCAATCAGTTCACTCATTCCTGGTCCTGGGGAGACGCCCAGCCAGTTTCCTCCACTGAGACCACGCTTTGATCCAGTTGGCCCACTTCCAGGACCTAACCCCATCTTGCCAGGGCGAGGCGGCCCCAATGACAGATTTCCCTTTAGACCCAGCAGGGGTCGGCCAACTGATGGCCGGCTGTCATTCATGTGATTGATTTGTAATTTCATTTCTGGAGCTCCATTTGTTTTTGTTTCTAAACTACAGATGTCAACTCCTTGGGGTGCTGATCTCGAGTGTTATTTTCTGATTGTGGTGTTGAGAGTTGCACTCCCAGAAACCTTTTAAGAGATACATTTATAGCCCTAGGGGTGGTATGACCCAAAGGTTCCTCTGTGACAAGGTTGGCCTTGGGAATAGTTGGCTGCCAATCTCCCTGCTCTTGGTTCTCCTCTAGATTGAAGTTTGTTTTCTGATGCTGTTCTTACCAGATTAAAAAAAAGTGTAAATTACATGGTGGTCTTGACTTTTATTACAGAAAGATATGTAGTAAATATTCAGAACAGATACACAATGTTACTTGGACATTTCAGAATTATCAGAGAACATAGCATAGGCAGATAATTTTTGTAAGGGTTTTCTGTTTGTTTGTTTTTTTTTTTTTTAGCAGCGCTCTGTCTTCTAATAAAGGCCTGATTTATGAAATGAATGAAAACAGAGCTAGTTTGGTTGAACTGGACTTGGGGTGGGTGCTTTGGCTACACACCTACTCAAATCCACCTCTTCTCTCGACTTCTCTCTCTCTGCAGCTCTTTCTTGGGTTCTGTGGTGGAACTTTCTGGGCTGTGAAGCAATGCTGTTGAAAGGCCATTTGGTATTAGGGACTCCTGTTTGTGGCTCCTGGGATGAGGTGGTTATGATTTTGTTTTCCTTGTGTTTTGAACACTTAGCCCCTAATTTGTAACTTAAGTAGAAGATACCTTTTTAAAAAGTTTTACTGCTTTGAGTGCTAATCAGGTACTTGTTCTTCAAAGATAGCCTTTTATTTGAAGAACATTTTGCTTTTCAGACTTAAATACACAAAATTCAAGATTTATTTTTTCTACAAGAAAAAGGCCAAACACAAATGACTTACACAAACAACTGTAGAAACATGCTATAGTGACAATCTGATTCACAACATAGGAATAAAACACTACTAGCATCTACAGAAAATAGGAATATTGCCAATGTCTTCCTGCTTTTTTAAAAATTCTGTTTTGCATATAAGGAAATGGCTTGGAATGTTATGTGCTGCAAGAATATTTTGAGTCCTACATACAAGTGAATTTTTTTTTTTGCTACACATGTATATTGAGGTTTTTTTTTTTTATCACAGTGAAGAAAATGCAGTGAATAATACGATTTTCTTGAGGCCTGTTACTTTTAGTAGCTTAATGTGTAGTAAAGAATTGGAGTTGTTGACATTTCTTTCTGTGGTATTTTGTAATTTCTGAGCTACAGGATAGCCTTTTAAAAATGTGTTCACTAGATGCCATATGGCTTTAATTGGGTCTAACAAGGTCCTCCTGAAGCTTTGTTGGGTCCATATACTAGTTCTCTGATACATTTCTTTGTGGCTTTGCAATGTTATGTTGCACTATGCAGGGGATGTGTGTATGTGTGTAGTGGGCGTGGGAGGACATGGTGACGACCAGAAGCACCAAATACTATAAAACAACAAGTGTTCAGAATGCAGGCTTTTTTGAGTGGCCCTTGAGAACTCCATGGATGGTGCTGGTGTCCTGTGGATACTGGTGCTGCTTTCCATCCTCACCTCTGACTAACTTGCAGACATTACAGATCTCACTTAGTTTAGGATATCAGCAGTGGCCTAAACCTAAATTTGCAGATCTCTCACAATAGTTTTTTTATAATTCTTAAGACGATCCTCAAAGCATTTGCTCTTGAAAAGCTGAATTTATGGTTAGAAGCTTGTGAAATCCTACATTCTTGTCATTAAACTGAGACTGTTGAGCTGTATGTATTGCTGGTGTATAATGAGAGGAAAGTCGTAGTTTCACAGTAGCCTATTCACTGCACAATTTTCTGAGATCACCTGGATGTATTGTCATGGAAGCAAGCAAGAGAGTTTAGAGTGCCACAGCAAGCAAAGCATCTTAGTAAGATGTGGTTCAACATCACTGATTTGTCCTATGCCTTTCTGTAGCCCCTTATTCCCCCCAACTTTTTTTTTTTTTTTGAGATGGAGTCTTGCTCTGTCGCCAGGCTGGAGTGCCGTGGTGCGATCTCGACTCACTGCGACCTCTGCCTCCTGGGTTCCAGCGATTCTCCTGCTTCAGCCTCCTGAGTAGCTGGGACTACAGGTGCCCGCCACCATGCCCAGCTAATTTTTGTATTTTTAGTAGAGATGAGGTTTCACCATGTTGGCCAGGATGGTCTTGATCTCTTGACCTCGTGATCTGCCCACCTCAGCCTCCCAAAGTGCTGAGGTTACAGGCATGAGCCGCTGCGCGTGGCCTCCTCTTTTATTAACAGGAGCTTTCTCTGCCCCATTCCCCCCATTTATAAATGAAAGATAACAGGTTTTATGTGGCTGGGAATCAAATCATGGAAGGTGTCCTTCCAACTTAAGATTTTGAGATTCCTTGTGTAAAAACTGTTGAAGTCTGACTCTTCCTTGGTAGCTGCCTGATTACAGAGCTTCAGAGAGGAGCTGGGCAGGTCCCGGTGCTCTGCTGTGCCATATGCATGAGCAGTGCTCCTTTGGGTAGTCTTCAGTTGACTGTAGAAGGTGTGGAGTGGATAAGATTATTGGGAAGTACTGGGTAAGTCACATAGAACAAAGATTTGATTTAAACTGACTAGCTTAAATGTCACTCCTGGCCGGGCGCGGTGGCTCACACCTGTAATCCCAGCACTTTGGAAGGCCGAGATGGGCGGATCACGAGGTCAGGAGATCAAGACCCTCCTGGCTAACATGGTGAAACCCTGTCTCTACTAAAAATACAAAAAATTAGCCGGGCGTGGTGGCAAGCGCCTGTAGTTCCAGCTACTCGGGAGGCTGAGGCAGGAGAATGGCGTGAACCCGGGAGGTGGAGCTTGTAGTGAGCCGAGGTTGCGCCACTGCACTCCAGCCTGGGTGACAGAGTGAGACTCCGTCTCAAAAAAAAAAAAAAACACAAAAAAGTCCCTCCTGAGATTCCCAATAGGTTACAGCACTTAGTTTCTGCTAAGCCATAGCAAAACATAGTATGTTAACTGAGTGCCAAAGAATGGTGACCTTGCTTCTGCTCTAGACTCAGTGAAAGACCGTGGAGAACAGACACTTAGAATATGAGAGTCTGGAAACAAATTACAGTTGGGAAGACCAATCAGTATAAAAATAATGAAAGGGATTGAGGATTTTCAAGGATTAAAACACGTGTAGCCAGGTGCAGTGGCTCTCACCTGTAATCCCAGCACTTTGGGAGGCCTAGGTGGGAGGATTGCTTGAGGCCAGGGGTTTGAGACCAGCCTGGGCAATATAGCAAGACCGCATCTCTATAAAATAAAGTAAGTGTATTTCATACACACATTGTGGAAAGAATGTTTAGTTTTAGATTGATTTCCCTTGCAGGAATGCCTCACCAGTTCCAAAAAATATTTCCCAACCACTTTCTTCTTTTCCTCTTGGCCTGCCAATTCATCTCAATACAAGGTCTAAGTGTCCACAGCTCATCTCTTTCAGCTGCGTGTCTCGTCCATGGAAACGGGAGCCTCTGTGTCTCTTATGCATTGTGTTTGATAAATGGACGACTTTAACTTACTTGATGCCCAGCCTTCCAATTTGTCTCCTACCAAACCAAAAGTGCTGCCTTCTATTAGAGTCCAGATATTAGACTGAACAGTTAATCAGCAGCAACTTAGGAGTGAGTCTAGGACAGCTTTTGACAATATAGTTAGTAACCAGCCAGCTTGCTTGCCCTCTAGGATAAAGGAAAAGCGGAGACTCTTTTAAAGTGCTCTCAGGCAATGAGCTCTGCTCCAGGATAATTAAGCCACCACTTGTATCTGCAAGGCTGACTTAATGAGCTTAACCCGTGACTAACCTGCATCCTTTCACCAATTCAAAACACATAAAATGAGCCACCAGTGTTTTACAAAGTTGAATAAAGCATAAGAGATTAGTCTGCCCTCAGGGGCTGGAAGGGGCAGAACCTGAAAGGACACTGTGTGCTCCTGGGCTGGTTCGAGCTGAGGCTGTGCTGTTTGGAACTCTGCTGTGTTTGTTGTGTGAAGCACAGTCTGTGTGCTTCCTTTCCTTGGTCCCAGACCTTTGCTGCTTAAGCTGTGGAGTTGTCCTGGTCTGCTCACTCCAACCTCCCTGACCGATGCTGACAATGGCATCTCCCCTACAGCTCACAGCCCTGTAGTCACCTCACCTTCTTGGGGGCTGTCAGGCCTCTGAGCCCAAGCCAAGCCATCGCATCCCCTGTGACTTGCACGTATACGCCCAGATGGCCTGAAGTAACTGAAGAATCACAAAAGAAGTGAAAAGACCCTGCCCTGCCTTAACTGATGACATTCCACCATTGTGATTTGTTCCTGCCCCACCTTAACTGAGTGATTAACCCTGTGAATTTCCTTCTCCTGGCTCAGAAGCTCCCCCACTGAGCACCTTGTGACCCCCGCCCCTGCCCACCAGAGAACAACCCCCTTTGACTGTAATTTTCCATTACCTTCCCAAATCCTATAAAATGGCCCCACCCCTATCTCCCTTTGCTGACTCTCTTTTCGGACTCATCCGGCCTGCACCCAGGTGAAATAAACAGCCATGTTGCTCACACAAAGCCTGTTTGGTGGTCTCTTCACACGGACGCGCATGAAATTTGGTGCCATGACTCAGATCAGGGGACCTCCCTTGGGAGATCAATCCCCTGTCCTCCTGTTCTTTGCTCCGTGAGAAAGATGCACCTACGACCTCAGGTCCTCAGACCGACCAGCCCAAGGAACATATCACCAATTTTAAATCAGGTAAGCGGTCTCTTCTTACTCTCTTCTCCAACGTCTCTCACTGTCCCTCAACCACTTTCTCCTTTCCACTCTTCAATCTCTCCCTTCTCTTAATTTCAATTCCTTTCATTTTCTGGGAGAGACAAAGGAGACACGTTTTATCCGTGGACCCAAAACTCCGGCGGCGGTCACGGACTGGGAAGGTAGCCTTCCCTTGGTGTTTAATCATTGCAGGGACGCCTCTGATTATTCACCCACGTTTCAAAGGTGTCAGACCACGCACGGACGCCTGCCTTGGTCCTTCACCCTTGGCGGCAAGTCTCGCTTTTCTGGGGAAGGGGCAAGTACCCCAACCCCTTCTCTCCTTGTCTCTACCCCTTCTCTGCTTTCCTGGGGCAGGGGCAAGTACCCCTCAACCTCTTCTTCACCCTTAGCTGCTAGTCCCGCTTTCCTAGGGGGCAAGAACCCCCCAATCGCTTATTTCCACGCCCCAACCTCTTATCTCTGTGCCACAATCGCTTATTTCCGCGCCCCAACCTCTTATCTCTGCGCCCCAATTGCTTATTTCCGCGCCCCAACCTCATCTCTGCGCCCCAATCCCTTATTTCCGCGCCCCAACCTCTTATCTCTGTGCCCCAATCCCTTATTTCCGTGCCCCAACACTTTCTCTGCTTTTCTGGAGGGCAAGAAACCCCCACCCCTTCTGCGTGTCTCTACTCTTTTCTCTGGGCTTGCCTCCTTCGCTATGGGCAAGCTTCCACCTTCCATTCCTCCTTCTTCTCCCTTAGCCTGTATTCTTAAGAACTTAAAACCTCTTCAATTCTCACCTGACCTAAAATCTAAGCGCCTCATTTTCTTCTGCAACACCGCTTGACCCCAATACAAACTCGACAGTAGTTCCAAATAGCCGGAAAACAGCACTTTCAATTTTTCCATCCTACAAGATCTAAATAATTCTTGTCGTAAAATGGGCAAATGGTCTGAGGTGCCTGACGTCCAGGCATTCTTTTACACATCAGTCCCTTCCTAGTCTCTGTGCCCAGTGCAACTCGTCCCAAATCTCCCGCCTGTCCCCTCAGTCCCAACCCCAAGCGTCGCTGAGTCTTTCTAATCTTCCTTTTCTACAGACCCATCTGACCTCTCCCTTCCTCCCCAGCCTGCTCCTTGCCAGGCCAAGCTAGGTCCCAATTCTTCCTCAGCCTCTGCTCCTCCACCCTATAATCTTTTTATCGCCTCCCCTCACACCTGATCCGGCTTACAGTTTCGTTCCGTGACTAGCCCTCCCCCACCTGCCCAGCAATTTACTCTTAAAAAGGTGGCTGGAGAGCTAAAGGCATAGTCAAGGTTAATGCTCCTTTTTCTTTATCCCAAATCAGATAGCGTTTAGGCTCTTTTTCATCAAATATAAAAATCCAGCCCAGTTCATGACTTGTTTGGCAGCGACCCTGAGACGCTTTACAGCCCTAGACCCTAAAAGGTCAAAAGGCCGTCTTATTCTCAATATACATTTTATTACCCAATCTGCTCCCAACATTAAATAAAACTCCAAAAATTGGAATCTGGCCCTCAAACCCCACAACAGGACTTAATTAACCTCACCTTCAAGGTGTGCAATAACAGAAAAAAGTTGCAATTCCTTGCCTCCACTGTGAGACAATCCCCAGTCACATCTCCAGCACACAAGAACTTCCAAACGCAACCAGGCGTTCCTCCGGAACCTCCTCCCCCAGGAGCTTGCTACACGCGCCGGAAATCTGGCCACTGGGCCAAGGAATGCCCGCAGCCCGGGATTCCTCCTAAGCCGCGTCCCATCTGTGCGGGACCCCACTGAAAATCGGACTGTTCAACTCACCTGGCAGCCACTCCCAGAGCCCCTGGAACTCTGGCTCAAGGTTCTCTGACTGACTCCTTCTTGACTTACCGGCTGAAGACTGATGCTGCCTGATCGCCTCAGAAGCCCCGTAGACCATCACGGATGCCGAGCTTTAGGTAACTCTCACGGTGGAGGGTAAGTCCGTCCCCTTCTTAATCAATACGGAGGCTACCCACTCCACATTACCTTCTTTTCAAGGGCCTGTTTCCCTTGCCTCCATAACTGTTGTGGGTATTGACGGCCAGGCTTCTAAACCTCTTAAAACTCCCCAACTCTGGTGCCAACTTAGACAATACTCTTTTAAGCACTCCTTTTTAGTTATCCCCACCTGCCCAGTTCCCTTATTAGGCTGAGACACTTTAACTAAATTATCTGCTTCCCTGACTATTCCTGGACTACATCTATATCTCATTGCCGCCCTTCTTCCCAATCCAAAGCCTCCTTTGCGTCCTCCTCTTGTATCCCCCCACCTTAGCCCACAAGTATAAGATACCTCTACTCCCTCCTTGGCGACCGATCGTGCACCCCTTACCATCTCATTAAAACCTAATCACCCTTACCCCACTCAACGCCAATATCCCATCCCGCAGCACGCTTTAAAAGGATTAAAGCCTGTTATCACTCGCCTGCTACAGCATGGCCTTTTAAAGCCTATAAACTCTCCTTACAATTCCCCTATTTTACCTGTCCTAAAACCAGACAAGCCTTACAAGTTAGTTCAGGATCTGCACCGTATCAACCAAATTGTTTTGCCTATCCCCCCTGTGGGGCCCAACCCGTACACTCTTTTGTCCTCAATACCTCCCTCCACAACTCACTATTCCGTGCTTGATCGTAAAGATGCTTTCTTCACTATTCCCCTGCACCCCTCGTCCCAGCCTCTCTTTGCTTTCACTTAGACTGACCCTGACACCCATTAGGCTCAGCAAATTACCTAGGCTGTACTACTGCAAGACTTCATAGACAGCCCCCATTACTTCAGTCAAGCCCAAATTTCATCCTCATCTGTTACCTATCTCGGCATAATTCTCATAAAAACACACGTGCTTTCCCTGCTGATCGTGTCCGATTAATCTCCCAAACCTCAATCCCTTACAAAATAACAACTCCTTTCCTTCCTAGGCATGGTTAGTGCGGTCAGAATTCTTACACAAGAGCCAGGACTGCGTCCTGCAGCCTTTCTGTCCAAACAACTTGACCTTACTGTTTTAGCCTAGCCCTCATGTCTGCGTGCAGCGGCTGCCGCTGCTTTAATACTTTTAGAGGCCCTAAAAATCACAAACTATGCTCAACTCACTCTCTACATTTCTCATAACTTCCAAAATCTATTTTCTTCCTCATACCTGACGCATATACTTTCTGCTCCCCGGCTCCTTCAGCTGTACTCACTCTTTGTTAAGTCCCACAATTACCATTGTTCCTGGCCGGGACTTCAATCTGGCCTCCCACATTATTCCTGATACCACACCTGACCCCCATGACTGTATCTCTCTGATCCACCTGATACTCACCCCATTTCCCCATATTTCCTTCTTTCCTGTTCCTCACCCTGATCACGCTTGATTTTTTGATGGCAGTTCCACCAGGCCTAATCGCCACACACCAGCAAAGCCAGGCTATGCTATAGTACAAGCCACTAGCCCACCTCTCAGAACCTCTCATTTCCTTTCCATCGTGGAAATCTATCCTCAAGGAAATAACTTCTCAGTGTTTCATCTGCTATTCTACTACTCCTCAGGGATTATTCAGGCCCCCTCCCTTCCCTACACATCAAGCTCCAGGATTTGCCCCCACCCAGGACTGGCAAATTAGCTTTACTCAACATGCCCGAGTCAGGAAACTAAAATACCTCTTAGTCTAAATAGACACTTTCACTGAATAAGTAAAGGCGTTTCCTACAGGGTCTGAGAAGGCCACCACAGTCATTTCTTCCCTTCTGTCAGACATAATTCCTCAGTTTAGCCTTCCCACCTCTATACAGTCTGATAGCAGACCAGCCTTTATTAGTCAAATCAGCCAATTAGTTTTTCAGGCTCTTAGTATTCAGTGAAACCTTTATATCCCTTACGGTCCTCTATCTTCAAGAAAAGTAGAACGGACTAAAGGTCTTTTAAAAACACACCTCACCAAGCTCAGCCACCAACTTAAAAAGGACTGGACAATACTTTTACCACTTTCGCTTCTCAGAATTCAGGCCTGTCCTCAGAATGCTACAAGGTACAGCCCATTTAAGCTCCTGTATAGATGCTCCTTTTTATTAGGCCCCAGTCTCATTCCAGACACCAGACCAACTTAGACTGTGCCCCCAAAAAAAACTTGTCATCCCTACTATCTTCTGTCTAGTCATACTCCTATTCTCCGTTCTCAACTACTCATACATGCCCTGCTCTTGTTTACACTGCCAGTTTACACTGTTTCTCCAAGCCATCACAGCTGATATCTCCTCGTGCTATCCCCAAACTGCCACTTTTAACTCTTGAAGTAAATAAATAATCTTTGCTGGCAGGACTATGCTGAATCTCCTTAGGCACTCTCTAATCAGATGTCCTAGGTCCTCCCAATTCTTAGACCTTTTATACCTGTTTTTCTCCTTCTTATTCCATTTAGTTTTTCAATTCATACAAAACCATATCCAGGCCGTCACCAATCATTCTACACAACAAATGTTTCTTCTAACATCCCCACAATATCACCCCTTACCACGAGACCTCCCTTCAGCTTAATCTCTCCCACTCTAGGTTCCCACGCCGCCCCTAATCCCACTCGAAGCAGCCCTGAGAAACATCGCCCATTCTCTCTCCATACCACCCCCCAAAAATTTTCGTCGCCCCAACACTTCAACACTATTTTGTTTTATTTTTCTTATTAATATAAGAAGGCAGGAATGTCAGGCCTCTGAGCCCAAGCCAAGCCATCGCATCCCCTGTGACTTGCGCGTATACGCCCAGATGGCCTGAAGTAACTGAAGAATCACAAAAGAAGTGAAAAGGCCCTGCCCCGCCTTAACTGATGACATTCCACCATTGTGATTTGTTCCTGCCCCACCTTAACTGAGTGATTAACCCTGTAAATTTCCTTCTTCTGGCTCAGAAGCTCCCGCACTGAGCACCTTGTGACCCCCGCCCCTGCCCACCAGAGAACAACCCCCTTTGCATGTAATTTTCCATTACCTTCCCAAATCCTATAAAACGGCCCCATCCCTACTCCCTTTGCTGACTCTCTTTTCGGACTCATCCGGCCTGCACCCAGGTGAAATAAACAGCCATGTTGCTCACACAAAGCCTGTTTAGTGGTCTCTTCACACAGACGCGCATGAAAGGGGCCCCAAGGAGAGGTCTCATGTTCTCATTCTGCCTCCTCCCATTCCTCTTCAGATTCAGTTTGGAAGAGGTCTTTTTGAGGTTGAAAACCTGCCATTGATCTTCTTCCGCTTCTTTTCTCTATCTCATTTTACTGGGTTTTGGTTTGTTTGATTCTGTTCCTGGGCAAGTGACTTCCATATATTGATACTCTTAGAAAAACATCTTTTTACTTCAATCTTAATACTTTTGTTTGGATTTTATTTCATAGTTTTCTAGGAGGGCTGAGCTAAAACATGTCCTGAACACCTGCTGGGTGCCAAGCAATGTGCTCTGAGCTTCACTCTCTTGACCCATGCACAAGATACCTGCACTAGCTTGCCAGATGAGAACTTCCAGAAGGCAGTTGATGTTCAGTTTTATGGGGTTTGCTGCTGTGTTTGTTACCATGTGAGTGAAGACCTATCATCCCCTTAAATTTTGGAAAGATAGAATTGAGTGTTAGTTCTATCTTGAATGTATCTGAATATTAGTTAATTCAGCAGGGACGGAATGTTAGGCTAGAGAATGTAGTAATGAAGAGAATCTAGGGAACTGATGGAAGAGAAAGGATATGCCACTGTTCCTGGAAAGCTGATTTTACATTTAACCAAAGTACGGTACCATTTTATCGCGCTGACGGGAGGAAGATCTGGAAGAACTTTTCTGTGGCTGGTAGAGCTGTCCGCTAAGGCTGCGTTTTTAAATCCCTGTTCATTGTGAACAAATCAAATAGGTCTTTGTTGTGTTTCAGCTTCCCCGAGTCAGCTTGGAGGGAAAATGCTAGCCTCTCTCTGGCTCAAAGTTGTGAAACAAAGCAAGAAAAACAACAAACATAACATTTTAGAGTCTATACAGCATGACTCCCCTCTCCCTCCTTTTTGCCCTTTCCCATTTCAAAATGTCACAATTATTAAAGGTTACATGTTTGGAAGGAACAGGTACTAGTCTATGTGACAGAACAGACTATTTTAGGGTCGCCATGAGACCTATGTGTCCTTGGTTCCTATGTTCATACACAGACCAATGGGGAAAGTATTATTATTATTATTATTATTATTTTGAGACAGAGTCTCACTCTGTTGCCCAGGCTGGAGTGCAGTGGTGCGATCTCGGCTCACTGCAAGCTCCGCCTCCCGGGTTCACGCCATTCTCCTGCCTCAGCCTCCCTAGTAGCTGGGACTACAGGCGCCCGCTACCACGCCCGGCTAATTTTTTATATTTTTAGTAGAGATGGGGTTTCACCGTGTTAGCCAGGATGGTCTCGATCTCCTGACCTAGTCATCCGCCCACCTCGGCCTCCCAAAGTGCTGGGATTACTGATGTGAGCCACTGCGCCTGGCCCCAGTGGGGAAATTATTTAAATGTGTTGGCTATAAACTAGTGTTATGTCATGGATCTGGATATATGAGTATGGTTATAAAAATCAGGATGCCTGGCCTGATTTGGAGCTTGGAAGGAGGTTCTGCGGCTGTTGTACACAGATACTGGAGTATCTGGGAGATATCCTTTGGATGCTGAGGTGTGTCTGAGGCCAAAGGACAGAATATAGGAATATGGGAGAATTTAGGCCATGTGGTCATTGTTCACGGGGCCACTAGTTTCACTCACTAAAGGAGTGGGTTCGTAGCTGCGTTGGAGACTGCAGCACACCCGTAGCAGTACTGTTTCTCATGCAGTGGCTTTCCCACAGAGCCCAGCTCAGGTTTGCTGGTCTCACATCAAAGTGCATTCAAAGTGGGGAGATTGACAAAGATGCAGGTTCTGGGTCCTGTGACCAGAAATTCGGACTCCTTTAGTCCGACATGAAGCTTCATCTGCCTTTGTAACTAGCTCTGCCCATGGCCGTGGCCCACAGGTTGAGAAACTTTGTCCAGCCTATTACCATTCAGTTGTATGTTTTGAGCTGTCTTTTATTACTAAGTGAAAACTGGGTGAGATTGTTGAAGAGGGACGATTGCCACAGGGGTTTCCTGTGTTCTTAATCTCCTGAAACTTGAGGACCTCATGGTTACACCCTGCCCTACAAGTTTTCTCTTACCCGTTTATTCAGGATGTCACACAGCATTATTTATTAATATTTGAAAGGTCTACCCCTGAGTAAGGAGGGTGGATATATATTTTTTTAAGTGGAAGAAACCAAACTTCAACTCCTATAGCTCTCTGTGCTTGAATCTTGTAACAGGCTGCTCTTATAAGCAGTGCCCCAGATCCTTCTAATGGGGGAACCTCACCTGCCCTTGTCAGGAAAGAAGGGGGAAGGGCCCAGGAACCTTCCAGTCTGAGAGGCTGGTATTCTGGTTCTTTCATCGTGTGACTTATACTAGTGATCCCTATCTTCTTGGGGGCAAGTGGGGAAGCCATTCTCCTCTTGAAGCCGGTTATCAGAGAACTATGAACTCATAGCGAGGTGACAGGATTTTAGGATGTGCATTTGTCAATTCCAAGTTATTGTCCAGGCGTGTGTGTGTGTGTGTGTGTGTGTGTGTGTGTAAGGGGACTCCTAGAATCACTGGCTAATCATCAAACCTTATGTTAATCAATATTTATACTCTCTTCTGTTAGATTTCTTTTAACAGAATAACTTTAAAAGGTACCCACATCTGATATTTTGAATTTCACCTCCCGTCTCTTTTCCCTATGCCCCACTTGGCTTTCTTCAGAAATTCCAAGGGAGTGGTGAAAGAATTAAGTGAGCAGCAGCAGGAGGATGAAGCAAAGTTCTACCGGATTATAAATGGTCTGATCTATTCCTTGCCATCACCTGACCTCCCCCAAGCATGACTGTGGGATATTGACCCCAGGACCCCCACCTCCACCCACCTTGGGGGTCTAGAAGAATGTGTCGACAATGATGCCTGCAAAGCAGCAGCTTCATGTGTCTGACTGCCCACTGCATCATCTCAGCTGCCTCTGGATAGGATTCTGCCAGCTCCTGGCCAGACTAGTTCTGTTGCATTGCACAGGCTGAGCAAAAAGAAGGGAGATGTGTTACTGGGCAGAGTGAGCTCCAGACATGCCAGACATGCAGGGACTGTCCTATAACATGGAACTCAGCCGAGCATGGAGACAGAGTAAGGGTGGTGGGCTTTTTGGGCGCTAGAAAGAGTACCAGGCCTTCACCTCTTCACCTCTCACCTCACACAATGGCTATTTTATTTGCTGCTGATCCTAGCCAGTGTTAATCAGGCCTGAGCCTACCAGTCTCCAGCTGCCAAATTATGGCTCCCAATAGTCACTGGCAATTGGACCTATCTGATCTTTCTTATGTCAGGTCTGCTACTTATTATTGAATCCCAGACCAAGAGTCTTGAACAGGAGGAGAGAGAGGACTTCTGAATTATCCTGGGGTCTCTTGCTCTTAAATCCAGACCTGATCATGAGTGAGGGAAGAGGGCAATGTGAAGAGGACTGTCCTAAAGGCCAAGTGGCTTTCTGGCAGCCAGGTGCACAGCTAGCACTTTCAATACTGACCCAGTCTCCAGCCAATAGCCCGTCAAAAGCCAGCTTGAAGGCAGGCTTTTCTGAGGTTGAGAGTTCTAAGTGATCCAATGCCCACAGAAGGAGAGGGTCTCTGGCCCTGACGTCACCACTCCAGTTTGGTTTTGAAGGACCAAAAAGGAGATGATTGCTTTTATGCTCCTGGGAACCTGGATGGATCTTGGCTGATTACCAAACAATCTACATTGCTTGGGCATAACTAGAAGCTGCTCCAGGCCAAAGCCACTTCCATTTTTACCTCCCTCTCTCCCTTCCCTGTGGACAGCAAAAGGAAGACATGTCTCATGTTGCGAAGTGGGAGGCAAGGGGCTAACATGGCTATGTTCTAATATCTTGGGCTCTCTTTGGGACCAGGAGGCTGCTTCTGGCACCTACAATGTTTCCAGCACCAGGTGCTTGGTGATTTGGATCACCGCTGAACGCTGTCTAAGCATGAGAGGCAGACTGGTATAGGGGAAAGAGCACTGGGAAGGGAGTTAGACTACTTTTTCCAGCTCTGCAACTAACTTATTGAGTCAAATCATCAGTTTGGATTTAACAAAGCTGATTTCTTTCCTGCAGGAATTCCGAAAGCCTTTGACATATATTATATACAATGCGTCTCCAAAAAAAGAAATACAAACAGCGGTTCCTAAACATATTTGGCCATGGGGCCCTTTTGAAATTGAGTAACCTACCAATACCTTGCTGTACAGAGTTTGTGAAATGCCAAACTAGAAGTGACTATCATTGCACTTCGGATCCTATGTCATTGATCTGTTGATTCTCTCTGGTTCCCAACAGATCCATAAAAAGGAAACGGCATTCCTGGTGGGAGGCCAGAGAGATCAAACAGTGGTGGAACAGAATGGGTACAGGAGCCCTAACCTGACCCTTTCCTTGGGAAGTCCAGGGCCTCTTTCTCCTTTGTAAACTAGTCTTTATTCCTACAATAACCTGTGATCTGCCCTTGGCTGTCCAAATAAGAATAATGCTCTGAGTATGAGTGGCATTACAAGGGCCCCCCTGTTTCTGTCGTGTTCTGAAAGACCCCACTTGTCATACAGGGTCTGGTTTCTTTCTTGGCCTCAGGACCCCACTAGTGGCCGAGTGTGATGGGGGCCTTTGCCTGCCTGGTCTAAGGGCGGGTCTTGAGCGTGGATGGAACTAGCGTGGGCAGGTGGCGAGTTCCCCTGGCTGGGATTTTTCTCTTTTTGTTTGTTTGCAAAACACTGTTAAAAGATTATTGCCTCCTATATTGCTGAGGTCTGACTACAGTGTCTGCGTTTGATGGAGGTGGGGCAAGGCCTAGAGGGGGCCTTTGCCCAAAGGTGAGCCAAACACTAGTAAGAATGTGAAAACTAGCCACTCGCAGACATCTCACTTGGTTATCTGGCAGGTAAGCAGGCACGTGGGTAGGCAGAGGGTGTGATGCCCATCGCTCAGGCCTGTTTTGAGGAACCTGGAGGCTCTCAAAGGCCCACCTCACAGTCAGACAATGCTGGAATGTCACGGTGAAGGAAAATGGGAACAAATATAGATAATCGGTTCCTGGGTCAAAGGCATTTAGAAAGTATGTTCTCAGGCCCTCCATTCTGTTCCCATCAGGAACCAAGGCTGAGAAGGAAGATGAGGCAGGAGGGGGACGAGTGTAGCAGAGCACTCTTCCCCTCCCAGCCTGGATGGCGTTAGTCAGAGAACAGGCTGGCAAAAGACTTCCTCAGGTTGCGGATGGTTTCAGCCTTGGCCTCGTCTTCACTTGGGGTCCCACGCTGGGAGGTGTCGGATGTGCTGAGGCTGTTAGTCAGGGACTGAGATTTGCTGAAACAGAAAGGCAAGGGGGTTGAGGAAGACAAGGCGAAGACTATCAAAGAAATGGGTCTTGGGGGCTTGCCTGTAAGCCAGATGGGCTACCCCAATCATCATAAGGTTATGAAGACCAGAAACCAGGCATTCCAATGCTTACATGATGTCAGGTACATTACACACATAATTTGCAAGGTGGTTATTTTCCCCATTTCTTAGGTTCAGAAATAGGGGTTCACAGAGTCAAGTAACTTGCTCCGGTCCTCACAGCAAGTAATGGGGGAGCACCCAGAGGCCACATTCTTTCCATTATACCAGACTGTTGAGGCAGCAGGCATTGCTGGAGAGTAGCTTGGCTGCTCTCCTGCCTATGGGTACAAACCCACTTTGTAAACTGCAATGTGCTGTATCAACATCAGGTTATAGTTATTTCCAGCACTCGTTTAGGTATCAGGAGGCCTGTATTCTAGAACCTTCTCTGCTCTTTGATGTGTGTAGCCTTGGGCAAGGAACTTACCTTCTCAGGGCTTCCTTTGCCTCATCTGTAGAGCGAAGGGTTTGTCCTGCTGACCCTCAGGCCTCTTCCAGCTCTGACATTCTGGACTTCAATTCCCATCTCTTCTCCAATGTCTTTATGGCTAATTCTGTCCCCCACCCGCTTTTGGAATTCTTTTAGTGCCATCTTTTTGAATGGCAGATGCCATTCTGAGTGCTTCCTAAATGCCAGCCTGTAGCAACTGCTTGCTGAGCACTTCCCCTGTGCTAGGGGACAGGGGTGTAAGACGAATATGATTCAGGCCCTGCCTCAGGAGGCTCAGTCATAGGAGGGGAGGCAACAGACCTAGGAAGAGATTATGTAAATGTGTCAAAAGTTGAAGAGCTCTGCATGTGATGCTGTCATCACATTAAAAACTGCACCACACTGTGCTGGGCGCAGTGGCTCACGCCTGTAATCCCAGCACTTTGGGAGGCCGAGGCAGGCGGACCACAAGGTCAGGAGATCGAGACCATCCTGGCTAACACGGTGAAACCCCGTCTCTACTAAAAATACAAAAAATTAGCCGGGTGAGGTGGCGTGCGCCTGTAGTCCCAGCTACGCGGGAGGCTGAGGCAGGAGAATGGCATGAATCCTTGAGGCGGAGCTTGCAGTGAGCCGAGATGGCGCCACTGCACTCTAGCCTGGGCGACAGTGAGACTCCATCTCAAAAAAAAAAACAAAACAAAAACTGGGGACTTCAACGCAGGGACTGTCTTTTACTCCTTGCTTATTACCCCTCAGAGAGTCTTATCTAGAACAAGGCACAGAGTAGGTAAATTCAGTAAATACCTGCTGACTTGAATTGAACCAAGTTCTTTAAAGCAGTAAGTCAGGAAATTTATGTGTTTTTAGCTAGAACACTGTAAGGTCAGTGACCAAACCTGGTTTAAGGCCCAGAGCCCCTGTCTGTCCTGTGATTAGTTGGCTGATCTCCTTATGTGGTGACAGGCTGTATGCAGATAAGCCTCTGTAGTGGCAGCAGCATTCTAAGCACCAACTGTGCATAAACTCATTGCAATCCTTATAATAACCCTGTGCGGTTATTGTCCCCATTCCACATGTGAGGAAATTGAAGCACAGCGAGGTTAGGCAACTTATCTGAGGTTGTGTAGTTTTTAAGTGGTGGAGCTAGGATTTGAACCCAGGCAGTCTGACTCTAGAGTCTGTGCTGTCAACTGCTATTCCATATTGCCAGGAGGGCCATTTGCTAGTGTCTGTCAAACTAAAAATACATTTATCCTTTGATCTAACAATATCATGTCAGGTTATTTTCTCTAGAGTGAGTCTTGCAACTATGAAAGTATATGTTCAGATTTATTAATTGCAGCATTATTTGTAAGATCAAACCAAGTTTCTATTTGTGATGGATTAGTTAGATAAATTATAGTACAATGGTACAGCGGAATACTATACAGCCATAAAAAATAAAATTCGAAGAAACTCGGTGCTCCAGGATTTTTTTTTTTTTCGAGATGGAGTCTTGCTCTGTCACCCAGGCTGGAGTGCAGTGGCACGATCTCAGCTCACTGCAAGCTCCGCCTCCTGGGTTCACGCCATTCTCCTGCCTCAGCCTCCCTAGCAGCTGGGACTACAGGCGCACGCTGCCGCGCCTGGCTAATTTTTTGTATTTTTAGGAGAGATGGGGTTTCACTGTGTTAGCCAGGATGGTCTCGATCTCCTGACCTTGTGATCCGCCCCCCTCCACCTCCCAAAGTGTTGGGATTACAGGCATGAGCCATCGCATCCAGCCCAGGATTTATTATTAAACATGAAAAGCAGTGAGCAGAATGGTGTTGATAGTGAATACTCCTGTGTGTGTGAGAAAATGAGGGCGAGGATCTGAACAATTTTATTATTTATTTATGCAAATATTTTTTATTTGCATAAGGAAGCACTGAAAGGACACATAGGAACTAACAAAAGTCATTTCTGGGGATGGGGGTAGCAAAGCGTTGGATGAGAATGGGGCGGGAACGAGGCTTTTCAACATACATCTTTGATTTATTTATTTATTTATTTATTTATTTATTTATTGAGATGGAGTCTCACTTTGTTGCCCAGGCTGGAGTGCAATGGCGCCATCTCAGCTCACTGCAACCTCAGCCTCTCAGGTTCAAGCGATTCTCCTGCCTCAGCCTCCTGAGTAGCTGGGACTACAGGCGTGCACCAGCACGCCCAGCTAATTTTTGTATTTTTAGTAGAGATGGGGTTTCACCATGTTGGCCAGGCTGGTCTCAAACCCCTGACCTCAGGTGGGATCCACCCACCTTGGCCTCCCAAAGTGTTGGGATTACAGGCATGAGCCACCACACCTGGCCTGATACCTTTTAGATCTTTGAACTATGTGAATATATTACCTATTCAAAAAAATAGTTGTTAGCATGATCCCTGGACTGGATGTCGTGGGTCTAATCCCAGCTCTTCTAGTTATTAACTGGAAACTTTGGCAAGTTATTTAATCTTTTCTTTGCTTACTCGTCTGTACAATGGGGATAAGAAATAGTTATTAACTCCTAAGCTTGTGAGAACTTAAAAAAAACCCAAGTAAGTAAAGTGCTTGGCACATAGTAAGTGGACAATAGCTGTTAGCTGTGAACTGTGATGATCAACATTTGGCCTTGAAAGAAGGTAGAGCTTTCCAAAGATCAGTTACTTGGGACCTCTCTTTAGGACAAACCAAGAGATGGGCCTGAGAGGAAACAGGATGTATATGTGTATTGTGATGGATGGCTTACAAAAATGACTGCAATGATTCCTCTTGTCCCTGTAGCCTGCCCTTTTGAGATGTGACTTCATGGCTCCTCCTACCAAAAATTTATTTCCTACCTCTTGAATGTGGGTTTGGCCCTGTGACTTGCTTTGACTAAAAGCGTGTGATAAAATAACATTTCATAACTCCCAAGGCTGGGCCTCAAGAGGCCTTGCAGCTTGTACTTTCTCCCTTTTTAAAAGCAGTTCTACCATGTAAGAAAGCTCGGCTTAGCCTTGGGGAGGATGAGACCCCATGGAGAGAAAGAGGCCCAGCTGACAGCTAGCACCAACAACCAGATGTGTGTGTGAGGCCTTCTTGGACCATCCAGCCTCAGTGAAGCTGCCAGATGACTGCAGTCGTATGAGTGATCCCAGGAAAGTAGAGTTGCCAGATTTAGCGAATAAAAATGTGTAGATAAATGTGCATTTCAGATAAAAAGCTAAGACTTTTTTTTTAGTGTAAGTATATTCCATGCAATGTTTGGGGCATAATTATACTCACAATTATCTGTTTTTTATCTGAAATGTGAATCTAACTGGGTATCCTATGTTTTATTCTGTAACTCTATAGGAGACACCAGCAGAAGAACCTCCCAGCTGAGCTAAACTCAGAACAAACAGCTGAACCAAAAAATTATGAACAAAGAGAATGATTGTTTTCTTCAGCCACTAAGTTTTGGGGTTGTTTGTTATGCAGCAAACAATAGCTGGTAAATGGCTGGTATGTGTATACACGGAGGGTCACGGTGGTGTCTAATCTATACTCTCACCTTGTTGGGCCTCCCCAGCAAATTCTGTCCTCTAGTCCTGTTTTTACCTATTTGAAGTCTAGGCAAGGCCTCGTTGGGTCTTCCTTTGTCTCCAAGTCCCTAACCCTGAATCAGCCAAGCTCTGCCTACACCCCAGCTCTATCCTATACCTTTTCCAATTCCCAAAGCACTTACTTGAGATGCGGATGGGGTGGTGCTGGCTTCTTGGACTCTTCACCCTGCTGGGAGGTACTACGGCCCTGCACAGGGGGCCGGGGCTGTGAGGCGAGGGTGGCACCTGGCTTGGAGGCCTGGTTTGGGGAGCTGCCACTGGATGCCCGGGATAGCTGCGGAGAGCCTGGTGACCTTTGCTGCTGTGGAGATCCGGACTGGGGGCTCAGGGGCTGCTGGCCTTGTGGGGAGAGCCTCTGTTGGGAGGGGCTTCCAGATCTCTGGGGCTGAGGAGACTGAGCTTGGCGAGGGCCTCCTAAGGGGCCAGAAAAAAAAAGGTTCAGTTCAATTTTTTTTCTTAGGATAGATATGGCTGTACACAAATAATGTTGCTTCAAGGATGTTCATTACAGTGTTTCTTATAATGGTGAAAAACTGAAAACCGTATAAATACCTAACCATAAGGAAGTAATTAGGAACATTAAGATACATCTGTATAATGGAATATGCTGTGGTCATCACATAGGATGTGGCTGAGTAATACTAAATGACACAGGATACTGTTGATAACATATGCTAAATATTATACTGCTGAACAAAATAGCTTAGAATACAGTACTTATGGTTTTATTTTGGCACATATGTAAAAACATATATAAAAAAGCAAGACTGGAAGACTGTACACTAAAACCAGTGTGCCTCAGACTTTAATGTGCATATGAATCACTGGGGATCTGGTCAAAATAAAGATTCTGATAGAGTGAGTCTCGGGCTGCGTTACGGACTGAATTGTGTTCACCCTGTCCCAATTCATATGTTGAAACCTTAACCCTAACCCTCAATGCAATTCTATTTGGAGATAGGATCTTTAAAGAGGTAATTAAAGTTAAATGAGGTGATACGGTGGGGCCCTAATCTGATAGGCCTGGTGTCCTTATAAGAGGAGAAAGAAATATCAGGAGTGTCATGTACCCAGGTACAGAAGAAAGGACACACGAGGATACACAAAGAAGGCTGCCATCTGCAGGCCAAGGAGAGAAGCTGTACCAGAAACCAACCCTGCTAGCACCTTGATCTTGTACCTGCAGCCTCCAGAACTGTGAAAAAAACATCTGTTGTTTAAGGCCCCCCCAGTCTATGGCATTTTGTTATCAAGGCAGCCTGAGAAAACTAATATAGGCAGGATCTGCGATTCTGCATTTCTAACGGGTTCCCAGCTTATCCTACGTTGAGTAATGAGACACTAAATAATCATTACAAAAGTGGTGAGATTAAGAAGGATTTTAATTCTCTTTTTTTTTTTCTCACGGGTATTTTCCACACTGAAGATGTATTTCTTTGGAAACAACGACAAGAATTAACTCTTACTTTTTGAGTTGCTCTCTAAACTTTTCCAAGAACTTTCAAAAGCAACATATCACTTGACCTAGAGAGGTCAGTAGGGAAGATACCATTCTTCTCACCACATAGAGGTGGAGACTGAGTCTTATTAAGGTTTCCCAGTTGGAAGAGGAGCCACAGAAAGCTCAAAGAGAATCTTGGTTTCTCCCTCTCACCGTACAGGGCACACAGGCTTCCACAAGCAAGCCAAGAGGCATCTAAGCTTGGGGATGTTGTAGCCACCCAGAAATGACTTTGAGTAGAATTCCAAGGCCCCCAACAATCAAGGTGCACTCTCCTAACCCTCAAATTCTGGGTGTCAGGGCTGTTGATGGTGAATTGCATTTTGCCAAAGCCGACTGGCTGCCCGTAGGTCTCTTCTCCCTACGACATGCTGCTGCTGGGAGAGTGGGGTTATTCTTGCCACGTTTTTTTGAGAGCACCGTAGGCACGTTAGGAGACTGAAAACTAAAAGGTGCTGGAACCCATCTCTGTGACTCTGTAACAATGGGGCTTCTACTGAGCACCTATTATGTCACCAGCTTTGGACTGGGCACAACAGCTCTGTGGGTTAGGCATTATTTTCATCCCCTACCCCCAGCCATGGGAGTGCTGTCCCTGGAACTCTAGAGAGAGCCACATGTATAATTACACATTTTCTAGTAGGCACATTTTAAAAAGTAAAAAGAAATAGGTGAACATAATTTTAATAGTGTGTGTGTGCGTGTATATAGGTATGTATGTATATATATAATTTTTAATTAAAGAGATGGGGTCTCTGTCACCCAGGGTAGAGTGCAGTGGCATGGTCACACCGCAGCAGTGAACCCCTGGGCTGAAGCCACCCTCCTGCCTCAGTCTCTAGAGTAGCTGGGACTACAGGCCCAACACCACTTTTTCTTTCTGCCTTTTTTTTTTTGTAGAGATGGGGTGTCGCTGTGTTGCCCAGGCTGGTCTTGAACTCCTGGCCTCAAGCAATTCTCCCACCTTAGCCTCCCAAAGTGCTGGGATTACAGGTGTGAGCCACTGTGCTTGGCCCCATTTTTACAGAGAAACTGAGACCCAGATATATTGTGACTTGCTTAAGATGTCACTACGAATAAGGGGACACGCCGAGATTCAAACCTAGATCTCTTTGACTCAAAAACCCTGTTTTATTACTTTTTCCTTTATGAAAACTACACCACGCAGGCTCGCCTGAGTCCTCATAACATCTTTATTGCTAATTAAGAAAAGGCGGCTTCCTTCAGCTGAAGCAGCTCTGAGCCAGATGCCAAAGGGGCAAGGACTAGATTTCAGCCAGCCTCCCTTACCAGATGTCACGTCAGCTGAGCACATTTTCAGAGGACATGCCACCTGTATAACCTCCATGACCTGTGGAGTCTGGTGGCCCTGACTCCACACTGGCACCAGGAGCCTCAGGTCCTGACTCAAGCCTTGCCATTAACTCGCTGTGTGACCGTGGGTAAGTCACTCCCCTTCTCTGGGCTTCTGGGCCCTCATTTGTAAAATAAGGTCATTGGACTGAACATCAAACATCCCTCCCGATCTGAACATTTTTGTGAGCTTGTGGAACACTAAATTGGATTAAATTGCAGCATCAGTTTAGCATCTGATTATATTACATGGCTTTGATTCATTACCTCTTTCATG
This sequence comes from Homo sapiens, assembly GCF_000001405.40. Taxonomy (NCBI): domain Eukaryota; kingdom Metazoa; phylum Chordata; class Mammalia; order Primates; family Hominidae; genus Homo; species Homo sapiens. The sequence goes on from NC_000022.11 coordinate 32,521,052, forward strand.
ATTGTATAGGCGAGTAGATGGGAGGTCACATTTATCTCAAACACCTCTAGGGCCAACCAGGTATGTAAATAAATAAAGCAGGCAAATATAAGAAAAGTAATGAGGCTTTCAAAAATTTGCCCACTTGAGATAAAAACAGTCCAGAGAACTATTTCTCTGAAGAGGTGCAAGCATAAAGAACATAGCAATTGCCCCTCTCTGTCACTATGGAAGTGAGGAGTAGGGCTGGAGGCAAACGCAGGAGCCCCTAGGAGCCCTTGCTCTGATCAAGGAAGCCGCTGTTAGTAACGCCAGGGACAGTTGCTGTATAGAAACACAGGCCCATTGTTTCTAGAGCTTCTGTGCTATCAAGAGATGCTGGAAATCTAGATGTTTAAGCAACACCTCTTGATTTTTTTTTTTTTTTTTTTTGAGACGGAGTCTTGCACTATTATCCGGGCTAGAGTGCAGTGGCGCGATCTCGGCTCACTGCAACCTCCTCTGTCTCCTGGGTTAAGAGATTCTCCTGCCTCAGCCTCTCAAATAGCTGGGATTACAGGCGTCCGCCACCACGCCCAGCTAATTTTTTGTATTTTTAGTAGAGACAGGGTTTCCCCATATTGGCCAGGCTGGTCTCGAACTCCTGACCTTGTGATTCGCCCACCTCAGCCTCCCAAAGTGCTGGGATTACAGGTGTGAGTCACCGCGCCCAGCTCACCTCCTGATTTTTAAATGTTGGTTACTTTTGGGTTTTCTAAACCCACCGCAGTTCAAATAAAACATTTGTTTTCTACTTTTATCTTCAGTTTCCCCTGATTCGCCTCCCTTCCCAGGTTGATATCTTAGAAAATGTGAATACCCATTCATTAATTCAGTAACTCTTTGTTGAGTCCCTATCATATACCTGGGATTTATCAAGAGAGACACCCTAGTTACTGGATTCAGAGACCAGAGTGCTAACCATTACCACTGCCCTAGTTATTTCTTTCGGCTTCTTGGCAAAGCAAACAATTTAGTATTTTTCATATGAGCACATACACAAAATATTAACATATATAGAAAGTATTTGCCTAAGCACAGACATGAAGCTTATTAAAAGAAAATTTCACTTTTACTGAGTTGAAATGAACAGCAAGTTCAAAATAATAATGTGATTTGTTAATTGGGGAACTCAATGAAAGCGTTGTTTTTCATTAGCCTTGTTATTTTTAATCTGAGCGTTAATTCACTGGGCATTTTCTTTAATTACCTTAATTGGTTTTAAATTGATTGTTTTTCAACTCACTAAAAGTGTGTTTAGCCTCATTTCCCTTAAAATAATATCTCTTTATCAAGCATGTTTTACTCTGGGCCAGAGAGGAAATCAGAATACAGTAGCTCTCTGTTTTAAAACGGCTCTGTTCAAATGTGCTTTTAAAAAGCAGGTCCCAGGGCAGAGGGGAAAGGAGGGTGTGGGGCAGAGGCACAGCCAGGAGCCTGGTAGAGTGAGGAATATGTAGTTTCGGAACACTTATTACTATAGAATTCTTGCTGGGTAACGGGGCACTGCATTAGTTACAAGGATTGTTAATAATAAACATGAAAAGCAATATGTATAAGACACACGTTATTAATAGTAAGCATTATGTCATAGTTATTCGTAGTAAATTATTAGTAGTAAGAACTGACACCTTCTACGCACTATCTCTGTGTCTGATGCCTTGCTAATTGCTTCACCTGCATTTATCTCATGGACAAGCACCCCATCCTTAAACATGGAAGCTGTTATTTCCTCCTTTACACTGAGGAAACTGAGGCCCCGAGAAGTAATATGACTTGCCTAACACTGCAAAGGCAGTGAGATACGGAACTGGATTCAAACACACTAGATCTGCCTGAAGGAGAATACTAATGTGTATTTTATACAGGCATACCTTGTTTTATTGTGGTCCATTTTATTTCAGTTTGCAGATACTGTGTTTTTTCTAAATTGGAGGGTTGTGACGACCTTGCATTGAGCAAGTCTGTCAATGCTGTCCTTCCAACAGCATGTACTCATGTGGTGTCTGTGCCTCACATTTGACAATTGTCACAAATTTCAAACTTTTAAATTATTATTATATCTGTTATGGTGATCCGTAATCAGTGATCTTTGATACTACTATTGTATTAATAATTGTTTTTGGGTGCCATGAACCACACCCATATAAGACAGTGAACTGGCCGGGCGTGGTGGCTCATGCCTGTAATCCCAGCACTTTGGGAGGCCAAGGCAGGCGGATCACAAGGTCAGCAGATCGAGACCATCATGGCCAACATGGTGACGTCCCTTCTCTACTGAAAATACAAAAAAATTAGCTGGGTGTGGTGGCATGCACCTGCAGTCCCAGCTACCCGGGAGGCTGAGGCAGGAGAATCGCTTGAGCCCAGGAGGCAGAGGTTGCAGTGAGCTGAGATTGTGCAACTGTACTCCAGCCTGGGCAAAAGAGCTAGACTCCATCTCAAAAAACAAACAAACAAACAAACAAAAAAAGACAGTGAACTTACTTGATAAATGTGTGTGTTCTGGCTGCCCCATTTACCAGCCATTTCCCTATCTCTCTTCCTGTCCTTGGGCCTCCCTTTCCCCTAGACACAACAATATTGAAATTGGACCAGTTAAGAACCCAATAATGGCCTCTAAATATTCAAGTGAAAGGGAAAGTCACACATCTCTTACTTTTAAATAAAAAAACTAGAAATGATTAAGCTTAGTGAGGAGGGCATGTTGAAAGCCAAGACAAGCTGAAAATTAGGCCTCTTGCACCAGAAAGTTAGCTAAGTTGTGAATGTGAAGGAAAAGTTCTTGAAAGAAATTAAATGTGCCACTCCAGTGAACACACAAATGATAAGAAATCAAAACAGCCTCATTGCTGATACGGAAAAATTTGAGTGGTCTGGAAAGAAGATCAAACCAGACGCAACATTGCCTTAAGCCAAAGCCTAATCCAGAGCAAGGCCCTAACTACTTTCAATCCTATGAAGGCTGAGAGAGGTGAGAAAGCTAAAGAAGAAAAGTTGGAAGCTAGCAGAGGTTGGTGGGTGAAGTCTCAGGAAAGAAGCCATCTCCATAACAAAAACTGCAAGGTGAAGCTGCAAGTGCTGACGAAGAAGCTGCAGCAAGTTATCCAGAAGAACTAGCTTAGATTATTGATGAAAGTGGCTGTGCTAAACAACAGATTTTCAGTGTAGATGGAACAGCCTTCTATTGGAAGAAGATACTATCTAGGGCTTTCATAGCTAAAGAGGAGAAGTCAATGCCTGGCTTCAAAGCTTCAAAGGATAGGCTGACTCTCTTGTTGGGGCTAGTGCAGCCGGTGACTTAGAGTTGAAGCCAGTGCTCATTAACCATTCTGGAAATCCTAGGGCCCTTAAGAATGATGCTAAATCTACTCTGCCTGTGCTGTGTAAATGGAAAAACAAAGCCTGGATAACAGCATAGTATTTCCAATATGGTTCATTGAATATTTTAAGCCTACTGTTGAGACCTAGTGTTCAGAAAAAAGATTCTTTTCAAAATATTACTGCTCATTGACAATGCATCTATCCACACAATAGTTCTGATGGAGATGTACAAGATAATTTTGTTTTCATGCCTTTTAATACATATCACGTCTTTTAGTTCATGGATCAAGGAGTAATTTAAAATCTGAGGTCATATTATTTTAAAAATACATTTTGGCCAGGTGCAGTGGCTCATGCCTGTAATCCCAGCACTTTGGGAGGCCGAGGCGGGTGGCTCACAAGGTAAGGAGTTCAAGACCAGCCTGGACAACATGGTGAAACTCCATCTCTACTAAAAATACAAAAATTAGCTGGGCATGGTGGCGCGTGCCTGTAATCCCAGCTACTTGAGAGGCTGAGGCAGGAGAACTGCTTGAACCAGGACCCGCGAGGTGGAGCTTGCGGTCAGCCGAGATTGCACCACTGAACTCCAGCTTGGGCTATAGAGCGAGACTCTGTCTCAAAAAAAAAATTTTTTTCATAAAGCTATAGTTGCCATAGACAGTGATTCCTCTGATGGATCTTGGCAAAGGAAATTGAAAACCTTCTGGAAATGATTTACCTTTCTAGATGCCATTAATAATATTTGGGATTCATAGGAGGAGATCAAAATAGCAACATTAACAGGAGTTTGGAAGTTGATTCCCATCCTTATGGATGACTGTGAGGGGTTCAAAACTTCAGTGGAGGAAGTAAGTGAAGATGTCGTGGAAATAGCAAGAGAACTAAAATAAGAAGTGAAGCCTGAAGATGTGATGGAATTACTGCAGCCTCGTGATAAAACTTGAATTGATGAGGAGCTGCTTCTTATGGATAAGCTAATAAAGTGACTTCTTGAGATGTAATCTACTCCTGATAAAGATGCTATGAAGGGGCCGGGCGCAGTGGCTCATGCCTGTAATCCCAGCACTTTGGGAGGCTGAGGCGGGCGGATCACGAGGTCGGGAGATCGAGACCAGCCTGGCAAACACGGTGAAACCCCGTCTCTACTAAAAAATATACAAAAAATTAGCCGGGAGTGTTGGTGGGCACCTGTAGTCCCAGCTACTCGGGAGGCTGAGGCAGGAGAATGGCATGAACCCGGGAAAGCGGAGTTTGCAGTGAGCGGAGATCACGCCATAGCACTCCAGCCTGGGCGACAAGGAGACTCCGTCTCAAAAAAAAAAAAAAAAATGCTATGAAGATTGATGAAAAGACAACAAAAGGATTTAGAATATTACGTAAACTTAGTTGATAAAGCAGCAGCAGGTTTTGCGAGGACTGACTTCAAGTTTGAAAGAAGTTCTACTATGGGTAAAATGCTATCACACAGCATCACGTACTGCAGAGAAATCTTGTGTGAAAGGGTGAGTCAATGCATGCAGCTAACTTCACTGTTGCCTTATTTTTATAAATTGCCTCAGTCACCCCTTGCTTCAACAACCAGTACCCTGATCAGTAAGCAGCCATCAGTATTGAGGCAAGACCCTCCATCAGCAGAAAGGTTACTATTCACCTAGGGCTCAGACGATTGTTAGTAATAAAGTATTTTATCATTAAGGTATGTACTTTGTTTTTTTCAGACATAATGCTATTGTACTTAAGAGACTACAGTGTAGTGTAAACATAGCTTTTATATGCACCAAAAAATTTGTGTGACTCCCTTTATTCTGATATTTACTATATACTGGGGTGGTCTTGAACCGAACCAGCAATATCTCTGAGGTATGTCTGTACACAGTTGTGTACAATTATACAATTTCCCTTTTCTTAAAAATATCTCCTGCTTTTCCAGAAGGAGAAACACAAACAAGAAAAATGAATGGGACATTTTATCTAAGACCTGTGGAAGAGGAAGCCATTTGGTGGCCAAGGTTGACTTTTTTTCACAAAGTAATGAATCTGTTGCTTTTAATAATAGTGACTGGGAAGGCCACAACATGATAGTAATGCCTTCTTTCTGATATATATATATAATTTATTTATTTTATTTTGTTTTTTTGAGATGGAATCTCCCTCTATCGCCCAGGGTGGAGTGCAGTGGCGCAATCTCGGCTCACTGCAACCTCCGCCTCCTGGGTTCAAGCGATTCTCCTGCCTCAGCCTCCCGAGTAGCTGGGATTACAGGTGCACACCACCACCACATCTGGCTAGTTTTTTTGTATTTTTAGTACTGATGGGGTTTCACCATATTGGCTAGGCTGGTCTCGAACTCCTGACCTCGTGATCCGCCCGCCTCGGCCTCCCAAAGTGCTGGGATTACAGGCCTGAGCTACCGCGCCCGGCCTCTGATAGGTTTTTAAGAAGATCCTTAAAAGATTGCAGCGAGACTGCCTGCTTTGGTTTCTTGGTGCACAGGTGCTCTGAAGCTCCATGCTGGTGCCAGAGCGAGTGTGCCCAGGAGGTTTTGATTGCAAGAGAGGATACGGGGCGGATTTCTCTCAAGACTGCATGCAAGAATATCAGAGCAGCTGATATTCTTTGAGAAAGTTAGTTAGCCATTGCCCTGATTGCTTTTCATCTTTTTACAATAGTTTGTCCATTCTCTAATAAGTGGTGGAATGTAGTAATGCTGGAATATATTTGAGGAGGAATTTCAATGGCCAAGGTTTTATAGATGATCTTCCCTTTTTCTATCTTTCTTACTCTAGCTGGTCGACTCACAAATCTATCATCAGGCACCACTCATTGAAATGAATAAACACTTCCTAGGTTTGAAAGGTCTGAAAGGCCAGACTTGTAAATCTACCATTTTCTGCCTCCTTGGGCAAAGCCTCAACTTTTACCTCGCAGTAGAAAGGCTCACGCCTGTAATCCCAGCACTTTGGGAGGCTGAGGTGGGCGGATCACCTGAGGTCAGGAATTTGAGACCAGCCTGGCCAACATGGTGAAACCCCATCTCTACTAATACTACAAAAATTAGCTGGGCGTGGCGGTGTGCACCTGTAATCCCAGCTACTCAGGAGGCTGAGGCAGGAGAATCACTTGAACCTGGGAGGTGGAGGATGCAGTGAGCCGAGATCGCACCACTGCACTCCAGCCTGGCGACAGAGCAAGACTCTGTCTCAAAAGAAAAAAAAAAAAAAGGAAATAATGACATTTTCACTGCAGGACGGCTGGGAAAATAAAAGTGAGAAAATAGGTGGGACATTCCCTGGCACAGTGCTTGGTGCATATTAGGTTCTTAATAAATTAACCTTCTATTTCCCTTCTCCTTTCTTGACTTTTTAAAGAGTTTGACCAACCCCATAGTCTCATTCATTCTGTGGATAAAGTATTCAGGTGCATTTTCCCAGAGCCCCTTGTGGGAATCACATGTGGATCCCTCGGTGCATTTCAGCACCCTCACTGCATGCTTTCTTGCAGTGGCTCGTCCTGGGTCATACCTTGCGGAGGTGGGCGTGGCTGGGGCTGGCCTAGCTGAGGCCCCAGCTGGGCTTGCCCTGGGGATTTCGCTGATTTAATCTGTGGAGCCTAGAGCAGAAGAGAAAAGAAGCCTGTTGGTATCACCACAGCCCTTTACTTCCTGGGTGAGAGGGCAGCATTTATGAAGATCTTTTTATCATTGAGAAGAGACTCTTACACATAAAGTGTACAGTTCTGGAGTATACAGTGTAGTGAAGTTCTATATGTGTATACGTCGGTGTAACCACTGCCCAGATCAAAACAGAGGGCATTCTCTGCGATAAAGCCTGCCCCGTGCCCCTTCCCAGCCAGCAGCCCCGTCAGTATAATAACTACGATTCTGATGTTTGTTATCATAGATTACTTTCTGTGGGGAAATCTGGGGTGGGAGGTGGAAGTTTGGGGACTTGCTTTTACATAAAGCTGGGGAGCTGGCAAATTCTTTGGAGAGCAGTCTGGTAATCCATGGTGGGAACTGTGGAGGGGAGGAGCGACGTGGGAGCTCATCGAGGTTGGGGAAAATGGGAGACACAATAGCGTCCATTGACTGGTTCCCTGGGAGCACACAGAGGGCTTGTGTGTCCATATGCTCTCGCACACGCACGCACACACATCCTGCTCAGGCCCAGCACCGAGGGCACAGAAGGGACAGCAGTCGATCATCTCTGCCCACAGTGCCCAAAGGCCATTTGAGACAAGATTGTTCTCCCCAGGATGGTGAAGAAGGGAAGGGGCCTCTGAAAGCCTCCTCAATTCACTTACTGGGGCAGGCTGTGAAAGCTCTCCCCAATGTCTGGCCTTCGTCCACACCCCCATTCCTTCTCCCCAAGGTGGTTTCTTCCTGGGGGTATCCCCTTTGGATCCAGGGGCTCCCCATTTCCAGACAGCCTGGCATTTCTCATGGCTATAAAGTCTCCTTTGATCGTGAGGGTCTTACCCAAGGTCTGAGGGGGGAGGGCGCTGTGCCTCCTGGCATCGGGAGCTGGCTCATTTTGGAGACAACAAGGTCGGCCATCAGCTGTCTGTCCTCTTCCACATGCTCTCCAATCAGCGGCATTGAGCTGTCCATTACCTGTGGGGAGGAAGGGAGAGCTGAGGGACCCCCATGCCAGGAGAGATGGCGGTTGGGCATCACATCCCAGAAGTGGGGGCTCAGGGCTCAGGACAGAAGTGACCACCAGATGGCGATGTCCTCCATGCAAATCACCTCCAGCTGGGACTGGCCGGCAGCGACATCAGTTCCCTTCGGTTCAGTCTAAACCACTCCCTGGAGGTAGTTCAATTCGGCCCACGTTTGCTGGATGACAGCAATGCGACAAGGGCCAGGGAGCCTCTGCCGACCTTTTCTGTGCTTTTCTTTGGGGAGCCGCTCTCCGCCCCCTCCTTTCTCACCCTGGCCCCCTCCCAGGGTCGGGGCTGGCCACCTCTCCTTTGGCCCCAGGTCAAGGCTGCTTTCCACAAAGCAGAAACAGTAAAGGTGGGGGCTTGATCATGACAAAAATATGACGCGGGCTGGAGTTGACCCAGGGTTCAGAGGAAAGAGGGAAGAGGAAAGGCCTGTTTTCCGAGGCCCTGGCAAAACACAGGCGGGAGGGAAAAGCATTCCACAGGGAGCTGGGCTGTTCTCAAAGTGCTTCTATCGGGAGGAACCTGAGGGATCCGAGTTTCCCCTTCTGCTGTTTTTACAAATAGAGCAACTGAGGCCCAGAGATGGGAGGGGACTTGCCCAAGGTCACACAGGCCAATGCTCCACGTGATTCCCTGGGCATGGGAAGCTATGGGAGATCTGGAAGGGGTGTCTGTCAGGCCTTGGCGCATCTGCGGAACAGCTGGCCGCGTCACCCTCTCTGCTCCACTGCAGGAGTCGGCGGCCTGCATTCACCCACGCCACCCCATCAGACTCACCGTCTTGTCTCCCCTGTTCCCACGCTCTGGACATATTAGGTTTTCTCTCTCCTCCAGGTTCTTATGTAATCCCTCTACCCACTCCTTACCTGGCCAACTCCTTTCATCCAACAGGGAACAGCTAACTAGGTCTTCCTCCAGGAAGCCCTCTCTGATAGTGCAAGCTCTGACGAGCCACCTGACAACTGTATCCTGCCGTTCTCACCTGGTTTCACACGGGACAGCTTATCCACGGCACTGTCACCCCTTGCTTACTATGTCTCCACCACCAGACTGGGAGCCCCCAAGGTTAGGAATGGGCCCCGTGTCCTGCTAAGCAGGTGTGCCCTCCACAGACACCTGTTTAGTGGAGGAATAAGACGCCCTTGTGATAAGCCCGGCTCATAAGGATAAGGATACTAAGAAGCGCCGTATTTTATGGGGCATTTCCTACGTGCTACGCTCTATTCTAAGCATTGGGTGTGGAGGATCTCTCATAAACCTCAGAATAGCTCTTTGAGGCAGTACTATTATCCTCATTGTAATCAAGAGGAAGCAGAGGGTCAAAGAAGTGGCAAGGTCAAGGACACAGCACTGGCAACCCACGGTCCTCCCACTGCATCAGGCTAATTCCCACCAAGCACTGGAACAGCACACCAGGGTAGGAACTGAGAAGAGGGAACCTGGGTTCCAGGCTTGGCTTCTGCTGTGTATTTGCTCTGTGATCTTGGGCAAGTTTCTTTTCCTCTACGGGCCTATTTTTTTTTTTTTTTTTCTCAACAGTGAACTGAGGGATCTGGGCAGCTGCTAAGACCCTTCCAGCTGGGACTTGTAGGGATCTGTGAGTTTAAGCACCCACTTTGATTAGGAAACTGAAAAGCTAGCTTAAGAATGTGAATACTGGCTGGGCGCGGTGGCTCACGCCTGTAATCCCAGCACTTTGGGAGGCCGGGGCGGGCGGATCACGAGGTCAGGAGATTGAGACCATCCTGGCCAACACGGTGAAACCCCGTCTCTACTAAAAATACAAAAAAAATTAGCCGGGCGTGGTGGCAGGTGCCTGTAATCCCAGCTACTCGGGAGGCTGAGGCAGGAGAATCGCTTGAACCTGGGAGTGTCGGAGGTTGCAGTGAGCCAAGTTGCTCTATTTGTAAGAAGAGCAGAAGGGGAAACTAGGATCCCTCAGGCTCCTCCCCATAGAAGCACTTTGAGAATAGCCCAGCTCCCTGTGGAACGCGTTTCCCTCCCGCCTGGGTTTTGCCAGGGCCCCGGAAAACAGGCCTTTCCTCTTCCCTCTTTCCCCTGGCGACAGAATGAGACCCCGTCTCAAAAAAAAAAAAAAAAAAAAAAAAAAAAAAGAATGTGAGTACTGCTTCTAGCAGGGTCCTGAGCTCTGCGCAGGTCGTACCTGGGACTGAGGCCTCCTGGATCCCAGCGCCCCAGACAGGGACAGTCTCTCAGTCACCACTGGCTGAGCTCTGACTGTGGAGTCTGCCGCGAAGGTACACAGGCTTGCTGCACCCTGCCTGTCCTCTCTCCCCCTGCCCCTGCCAACCCCATTTTATTCTGGTCTCTGTTTCCTACATTCCCTGCAGTGGAAAACAGCCACCGCAAGGAACCTGAGGTTCATTTTGGAATCCCCACGGTAGAGACAGCCAAAGGAAGTGGCCACCCTCGTCTCCCCAGGGAAACATTTTTCCAGTGAGCAATGTCATTCCCCGGACAAGGTCAGAGAGGACAAGTTCAAGGGTCTTTTCCCCTGAGTATTTCACTGTGAGCCTCTTCACAAAACATTTCACACACATTTTCAGTTCTCACCACAGAGATGGCTGAAGAAACCAGTGTTTTGGGATCTCTTCTGCCTTTTTTTTTTTCCCTTACTGGGGGAAAATACCTTTTATATTTCTGGTAACAAGCTTCCCATCTCCCCTGACCCCACTCCAAACTCAAAAGCAAAGGAAACAACTCTGCAATGTTTCTGCGAGGAAAAAAAAAATCTGAAAAGCTATCTTTCATTTTTCCCCTGGAACATTCTTGGGAGACGTTGTTTTCTTATTTTTTGAAGTCCGAGCCCACTACTTTTACTTTTTTTTTTTTTTTTTTAATGTGAAAGGTCTTTCATCCCCAACCCTCTGAATGGCTAAAGGCAGGAAGCCTGAGCCCATGAACACAGATTTTTTTTTTTTTCCCTAAGACTGAAAGCTGAGACCCGGAGAGGTAGGGGCTCACAGGGGACAGAGAGACTGCTGGTGCAAGGGAGGAGCTGGCCTTTGGGGGTCAGGGCAGTCCGGGAGCTCTAGGAGACAGGGCCCCTGCTCTTGTGTTTGCAGTTGTACTGTGTCCACCTGGCTTGGGGGCTGGCTCCTGGAGCAGCGGCTCAGTGAATAAACAAATGAGTGCGTGTGTGCCAAATCTGGGTTCATGTCTGGTGGTCCCCGTGAGGGGATGCAGAGGCAGGAGGACCTGGTGGGGTCTCAGGAGCTGCCGTGCTGGGGGTTCCTGCCCCACCTCTGGGCTGAAGCTCCCAGAAGGCGAGGGACCGGCTCCTCCAGGGAGCAACTGTACAGGTCAAGGAGTCTGTTCCCAGCCCCTTCCATGGCTCCTCCAAGTAGGGGCTACTTGGGGAACTTCAGGTGTGGTGGCGGCCAGAGGGAAGGCGTTTCCGGGCCTTGAGAGGAGAGCTGTTCTCCAGAGTGGGACTAGGTCTGCTAATGCAGATGCAGCTCTTCCTGCAGGAGCTTCCTGGCCTCTCTGGGGAGGAGAGAGGGGCTGTGTTCATCCTGGACTCCCTCCTCCTACCTCCAAGGCCTGGGTGTGAACACCCTCCTGGCATGACTGGGCTCCCACCCACTGAGTCACCTGGTCCTGCTTGGCCGTGGGCCCCTGGGGAGCGAGGCAGACATGAGAGACGGGAGGACCGGCTGGCTCCTGTGGTCACCCCAGCCATGTGCTTCCCATTAGCCGCCCACACCCCGGGGAGGGGACGGCCGCAGGGCTCTCCCTCACGTGTCCTGGCCTTGTGTCAGCACCGCCCATGGAAGGAGGGGGCTGGACGCGGCACTGGAGCTGTGAGTGTGGAGATGGGAAGTTATGGCGGACTCTGAGGCCAGAGGGGCCTTTTCAGGGGAAAGCAGTGGAGAGCCATGGGACATGGAGTGGGGGGGCAGGGAAGAAGAGTTGGGGAGGGGACGGGAGGGCTGTGGGACCGTGAGAGACACTGGGAAGACATGGAGGAGAGGTGGGGGTTAGTGGGATACGGGGAAACAGAGAGAGGAAGCGGCGGGGATGGGAGGACTATAGGATTGGGAGAGGCATGGGCTGCTGGAGGGTCTTGAGAGAGATTCCGGGACCCACAGCCCCTCTGTGAGCCCTCTGTTACCATTCTGTTTCCCTACATCTTTCCCTCTATTCATGCCCCTGTACCATTCCATCCCCCTTCCAAATCCTCAATGCTCTGCCACTGTTTCTCACCCTCTCCCCTGCCAGCCTGCACACCCCATGTCTATTATGTCCACGGCTGTATCCCCAGAGCCACACCCATGCTTAGCCCATGGGAGCCCCCTAAGGCCATGTTTGTTGAATGAACAAATGATGGACTGTCTGCATGGTGACCAAGGAAGGTGCCCATTTCACATGCTTGGACACTGGGGAAATGGAAGGGGCCCCATGGGACAGTATCTTGTTGACCCTTGACCAGATGCCCTTTCCTTCCCTTAGGCCTGTGGGTTGGGGATGTTGTTCAACCTCGGGCCCTGAGGTCTCCCGACTCAGTTCCAAGTCCCCAGGCATGAAGCCTTTCGATGCCTCTGAGGGTGGGAAGGAGCCTCCAGAAGCAACTCACTGAGGCCTGGGTTGCGTGTGCCCTGGAGCCAGGACACAGCTGATGGTGCCAAAGACCATGCAGGGATTCCCTCCCCCTGGCACGCCTGCCAGGCTGGACCAGCCAGGAGGACTCCCTGCTTCATCCCTCACCTCGATGATGTAATCTCTGCCATCCTTGCTGTGGACAGCCTTGACGGCACAGATGTCCAGGCCGCCAAACATTTCCGAGCAGCTGTCCACCCACAGCCTGTACCTGCAGGGACAGATGGACAGACAGTGAAGTGGCCTGGGAAAGTGGGGAAGCGGGTAGAGGGAGAGAAGTGGATTCACATGGAAAAACAGGCAGGGAGGGACAGTGACTCACACATCCAGACGGCGATGGAGAGAGACAGAGAAGCAGCAAGAGAGACAGAAAGACGGAGAGAGAGTTGGAGTCCAACACGCAGAGACAGAGAGGCAGGGAGAGAGGCAGGGACACACATGACAGTGAGAGAGAGACCCAGAGAAAGAACACGAGAGAGCCAGGAAGGAGGGGAGAGAGGCAGGGAGAGAAGGAACCAGAGTTGGGAGAGGTCTCCCCCGACCCCAGGACTTGCTGGCTCTGCAGTAATGGGGAGCTTGCCCTGTCCCCATCCGGAGTCATCCTGGACACCCAGCCACCCCTGTGTCCCTTTTCCCTTGGGAAAGCTGCTCCAAGGGCTCCAGAAGTCCCTCCAGGCTGCCCTTCCAGTCCCAGCCCTGGCCGGACAAGAGGCTGTGGAGGACAAAGGGTGCATTTTTCCCAGGGCCCGGGGCGGGTGGGCTGGGGAGACTGGCAGGCTGCTTCTGCCTCGCCCAGGGGGCCTGGCCCTCTAGACCCACTGCTTTTGTTCCCTTTCCAGCCACTTGATGTCTGCAAGGCCAGTTTGCTTTGCTGGGGACAGATCTCAGCACTGGACTCTGACCCTGCAACAAGGGGGTGGTTGTATGTGAAGAAACTGTTCCAGCTTTGCACTTAGCTTCCCCTGTGGGCTGGATTTGGGAGTCACAGGGGACTCTGTGTCAATGTTCTTGCTTCTCACTCTCCAGGGTCACACGGGGCACGCCTACTCTCACATCGCTTTGCGTCTCTGAGCCACAAGTGCTGGGATGAGGAGGGACTGTGACTGGAATGCTCTTAGAATGGAGTCTCATCTCATCCACCAAAGCCTACTGAGGCCCAGAGAGGGAGGGTGGCTGGTCCAGATCACACAGTAAGGTGTAAGAACACCAGGATTCCCTCGATCTCCTTGACTCCCAGTCCAGTTTTCTCATTCAGCTGTAGCACGGAGCATGTGAGATCATCAAATAAAAAGAAGGATGGAGACTCACACCCATGGAGCTCCTGGTATGTTCCAGGCATTCTGGGCCCGGGGGCTGACTCCTCATTCCCTCGAATCCCAGCACAACTCTATGAGGAAGGTTTTAACCCATCTTACTGATGGAGGAACAGGCTCAGAGCGATGATTAAGTGACTGTACCGCTTCCAAATCCAGATCCTGTCTGATTCCAGCTTCCAAGCAAGCCACCCTTCCTCTCATTCTGAAGGTGCCCCAGCCCATCCATTCTCACTCAGCATGGGAGACCAGGGACCTACATTCTTGCTATTAATTCCTTAATAATTTTGGAAAAGCCTCTCCCTCTTATCATAAAATGGGAAAGCCTAGATCTGATTCTGGTTGTACATCAGAATCACCAGGAGAGTTAAACGCACAAACAGCCAGACTTGGGGCTCCACCCTATGTTAGAGTAATTTCTATAATTTTTTAAAGCTTTTCATGTGATTCTGATACGTGGCCACGTTTGGGGACAACCTTGGGTCCTTGGAGCTCGAAGAATCCTCTGGGCTCTCTGATCAGGGTCCTCGTTTTTGGCCCCAGTGGCTGACTTGTGGGTGCCACACACAGGGTGAGCTCTGCCCTGAGACACACTCATAAATCAGGTTTCTTCTCAATGGAACGTGGAAATTTGAGCTGAGGTCCAGAGGCAGCTGTTTCCAGAGGCTGTTTTGAAAGGATGAACCTTGGGGTCCCCTGCTGGCTACGCCCCATAGGGCACAGGCATCCCAGGGTCTAGGAAGGGGCTGCAGGCGTACAGCAGCGTGAGAGTGCTTGGAGAATCGGGGGGGGGGCCCTGCTCCCCTCCTGCCAGGTGGGACTAGCACTGACCAAGCGACATCATTGGTTTTGCCCAGGAGTCAGGCCACCTGGCAAGCAGGCGAGCCAGTGGAGGGCGGGGTCAGGCCCTGTGTATGAGTCCCTGTATGGATTTTGCTCCTGTGGGGATAGGACTGGGGATCTCTCCAGCCCAGACCCTGGAGTTCTGCCTGTGATTGGAAAAGGGAAAGTGGATTCCAGGCCTGGGCAGGCCCACTCCCACGTTAGGTTCCTCCAGGGATGGCCCATGCAGCCTGGGACTTGGCAGAGCCAGGGATAGGTGGCCTGCTGGGGACATCTGTGAGTGGCTCAGGAGGCACTGGGGAAGGCTGGGCTCACATTCCGGAAGGGCCATAGAGAAGATGGCCACGACTGTCCCGTGAACACCTGTTGGGGGAAGGAGGTGACTGCCTCAGCCACATGATTCAGTCGTGCCAGGTCATGAGCGCAGCCTCCAAGAGACTCATTAGCACAGGTGGGTTCCCAGGTTGAAGGTGGCAGCTGCCCCCTGGGGTTGATGGGAAGGACAGGTGTTCCTCCCTGCCAGGGGCTGGTTCTGGATTAGGTGCAGCCCTCTCTCATTCAGTCCTCACACCTGCACTCTGACTTGGGTATTACTACTGCTTTCGTTTTGCAGTTGAAGAAGCTCAGAAAGCATGAGCATGCCTAAGGTCACACTCAGTCTTTGTTGCTGTAGGGGATGCTCCCACTCCAGTCTCCAGGGGTGCAGACCTGACATAGGCCTCCAATCACAGCGTTGCAGTGTCTTGGGCCATAGTGATTGGTTCAGGGATGGTCATGTGACCTAAGCCAGGCCAACCAGTACATATGGCTCAGTTCTAGGCTTTGGTTGAAATGACTGGGAAACAGAAGTTTTCCTTCTTTTGAACCTGACACTGTGAGGATGAAAGCCTGGAGCCACTGTGTGCCACCATGAAATGAAAGAGCCTGCCTGGATGAAGCCAACACACAAAGAAGCTGAACTTGGGTGGGCAGAGGAGGAGCCTTAAGGCCTTACCTGACACTGTATATCTGGAGTCGTCAGTGACATGAGCCAGTAAATCCCCCTTTCTGCGCAAACCAATTTGGTTTGTGTGGTAGCCCTTGCAACCGATACAGAGTTCTTAGAGGGAAGGATTGGATTTTTTCATCCTTTAGCGCTCAGCACAACATGGCCTGCAGTAGGTACTCAATAGGTGTTTACTGAACAGAGCTTTTTGAGTTCACAGCCCATGCTCTGTCCATTGCTATTGTGTGGCTGCTAGCAGAGGTCACAGGGCATGCAGGCAAGAAGGTATGTATGTGGCAGGCCCTGAGACCAGCTGACTTGGCCCTTCGACCCTTCCCCCCCTTTTTTTTTTAAACAGAGTTTTGCTCTTTTTGCCCAGGCTGGAGTTCAATGGCACGATCTCAGCTCACCGCAACCTCCGCCTCCTGGGTTCAAGTGATTCTCCTGCCTCAGCCTCCCGAGTAGCTGGGATTACAGGCACCCACCACCATGCTTGGCTAATTTTGTATCTGTAGTAGAGATGGGGTTTCACCATGTTGGCCAGGCTGGTCTTGAACTCCTGGCCTCAGGTGATCTGCCCGCCTCGGCCTCCCAAAATGCTGGGATTACAGGTGTGAGCCACCGCACCCGGCCGGCACTTCCTTAAGTGGGGCTGGCACACAGTGTCTAAAGGGAGAAAGACCGAAAAACCCTTCAGCCAGAGAGCATCCCTAAAACATGCATGATTCATGGGACGTCAACCTTTCCCTATTCATATTGAGATGGAAGGACGCTTGAGAGAGAAGTGGACTCTCCAATATGCCTGGTCTCCTAATAATGCTTCCTTGCAGCTGTCAGAGCACAGGAGGGACTGGCCAGGGCTTCCTGACCTCTTCCTATAGCAGCTGGTCAGGGCTGGAAAGACCTCGGACTTGGAGTCATGACATCAGGGTTCTACTCTCAGCTCTGTCATCAACTAGCTCTGTGATCCTAGACAAATCACTTCCCCTCTCTGAGTTTTCTTCTCCCATCTGTAAAATGGGGTTATTTTAATACCTGCCCTGTAGGTTGCTGTGGGCAGTGAAGATGATCATGTCTAAAAAAGTGCTCTGTGGATGGTGAGGCACTGGACGGAGGGCGGAGTGGCCTTCTCTTCAGGGCCTTTTGTTGCATTCCCCCTTCAGCTCCTACTATGGCCAGTGCCTCTCCCTACACCTCCTTTGTCTCTTACCTCTCTGTCATGGCCACCTGCTCCAGCATGGCAGAGCCTGTGTTGGCCTTCCAGTTCCCAGAGATGGAGGTTCTCCTGTACCAGAACAAACAACACATTGAGGGAATTAGGGACCCTCGTCACTGATCTGCTTTCCTTCTTTGCTTTGGCTGTTAGGAGGCTCTGATTCAAATAACTGGCTCACGTAATGGCATGTATTCTTACGTACACACCTTGTCTTCAACTATATTTTCCTATGTTTATTTCCCTTCATGCTGTTTGCCTTTTTTATTTGTTGGATCCTAGGTATTGTTTTCTAAGTCATCTTTGAAATTGAAAGATTAAATTAAAAAATGCCTACATCATCTGATGAAATCCCCCAAACTTTGGCCTGTTTTTGAGGAGAATGAGGGCAGTGTGTATAGCCCCTGGTGATTCTGGAATCTTTTGAGGGCCCCAAAATGTTAGAAAAGTGATCCTTAGAGAGAAGTGACTACTTTTCTCTGGTGAAGATTAGGAAGGCCTTCTGGTCTCTGACTGTCTTGCCATCCTTCTCTGTTTCCTTGCCCTTTCTGCTCCAGTAACAACCGACCTCCCTTCCGGTGCTCCACTGCCCATGGCTCTTTCCCAATGTCATGGCCTCTGCAGGTCTTCTTCCCTTTACTCCGTACAGTCTTTGTCTCCATCTTTGCCTCCCTAAGTCCTGCTCATCCTTCAGGTTTCATCTGACATACGACTTCCTGACAGCCCACCTTTACACAGCAAAAATAGACTGCCCGGTACTACGCCCTACACTAATGCTCAGTAATGCTCATCTCCCTTCTGATGACTGCATTAGTGTCCTCTCTTCTCTGATGGAGGAGAATCCTGACGGTAGGGGACATGTTTAACTTCATCCCCTGTATACCCAGTATCCAGTGGGATCCGGCAGGTAGTAGGTGCCCAGTAGGCACCTACTGGGTGAGGAACTGTGTACACTGGGGGAGAATCCAGACAAGCTATCTATCACTAATGATGCATCTGGCCTCGGCAAAGACTGAACGAGTTTAAGCATAGTGGTGGAGGTAAAGCTATTTGTCTTACGGTCAAGGGAAGCTATGTCATTGAGATCAAAGGGTGAACTGGTGAGAGGAATTGACACAAAAATGTATCATTGTAAGAGAAAATTGAAGTAAAAATGCTGAGAATAGATGACCACCAGGAGCCATAAGGCACTGCACCGTAGTTGGCAAGGTTGTTTCCCATGGAGCTACAGGTGAACCATTCTGAGACTGGGCACATACACTGAGATGGAACCAAAAAAGTGGAATAGATGGTGGATGGGGGAGCTGGATTTTTCTCTGTTGGAGTGGGAAGTTATAGATTAGCAATCAGGAAAGGCTAAAATGAACGAAGTGGTACCAGATGAAAGTCAGGGACATCCATAGGACTCTGTTTAGCTTCATAGGGATGTGGATGGGAACATATAGAAAAAATTATGGATATATGTGTATACACGGGTAAGGATACACACATGTACTTCCTTACTGTGTCTGCTAGGACTTAGAAAGAATGACAGCCCAGTAGCGACAAGCACAAAGGCCCGAGTGCAGGGCAAGGAGTGGGCCAGAGAGGGGGTTGAATGGCCGGGGAAATTCTACACTGAAGTCTGACATGAACCCCCTCCTTTGGAGATGGGCCAGCCCAAGGTCCAGGAAACTCGGTAAGTAATGACAAAGTGGAGCTGTCAGGCCAGGGAGGCTCAGCAGAAAAATGCTGCAATGAGGTAATCCTCAAGAAAAAAAAAAACTGGGACAAGGTGTCGTCAATGTCAAGTGGAAGCTCAAACAATGAAGAGAGGAGGGAAATGATATCATGGCTGAAGGCAGGGGCCTCAGGAACGCACTGGAATGGGCCATAACTCAGAGGGGGCAGGGAGGAGGTGATTTTATCACCCCGAGGCCATCTGAGAGCAGTGGCAGGTCTGGCTTGCCTCACAGGAGGAAGAGGTTGATTAGTGGAATAGGGCAGTTACTCCTCAAGAATGAGCTCCATCCCTTTCCTGGGAACACTTCCTTCTAGGGCAACTGCCTGCACCTCCTCCAGTTTCACAAGCAATGACAGGGCTCAGTAGTTGCAACAGAGACGATATAGCCCGTCAAGCCTAAAATTACCACCTGGCCCTCTACAGAAAAAGTTTGCTGACCCTTGGTCTAGGCAATCCAGGTAGTGCTAAAGCAACCACAGGCAATCCATAAATGGGCGTGCATGGCTGTGATCAACAGAACTGTATTTAGAGACAGGTGGCAGCTGGATTCGGCCTGTGGTTGTGGTTTGCCAACCCTAGCTTAAAGCACAAGCTACCCACACAGAAGCCTGCGGATGGAGGGACTTTCCAGCTGTCCAGGGCTAACCCTTGCAGTCCTCAGATATGGAGCCCTGCACACAGTCAGTGCCCCATAAATGCTTGGCAACCAGGCAACGATTGGCCCTCTGGGGTCTCATCATTTCAAGTGGAACTAACAATAACATTCCAGAGTGAAAGATAGAGAGGGCTTGGAGCAAAGACCTCTCCCAAGAACGAGACAGTCTGCCTATTCCAGAAGTCCCCATTCATCCTTATAACCACAGCCCCATGTAATCCGTGCTTTGTTGAACCACCTCTAGGGTGAAGGCGGGCTGCTTTTCTCTGCCTGGCATTCTTTCCTTTTCCTCTAGATTCAGCACCTCTATTTCCACTGGGCAATGGCTCTGCCCACACTGCATGCCTTCTTATAAAGTTTTCTGCTTTTCTCTAATCAATAAAATGCGATCAAAGTTGGACTAATCAGTACTTTTTCCACGGAATCACAATCTTGAGTTAAGCCTTGAAAATGACTAGGGCAGATTCATTTACCAGTAGGGATGCCATGAAAATTGTTTATTATTATTTCTGGCTGCCCACCTTCCTGGGGCTACTCTGTATCTGAATGTTTCTGAAATTGATAATTGAGTTGGGAGATATTTTTGTTTGCTTTTTTAAAGTTTCTGATAACCCATGGTTTTCTAGTAAATTCCCTTTAAAAACCCATTAAGTTAATGAGATGTGGTTTCTGTTGCTTGCAGGCAGAGAAATCTGGTGTAACCTCCTAACTGGTCTTATTGGCTTCAGAGAAACCGTTCTGCACCTCCCAGCCTCATGGTCACCTTTTTATAAACACAGATCAGACCCTTTGCTCAGAAGAGAAGAGAAAAATACTCCAAAACCCTCAGCAAGGTATTCAAAGCCCTCCTTGATTTGTCCCCAAATTTCTCTCTCAAAGACATATATCCTGTGTGTATGTGCAGTTCCCTAGACATGCCAAGCACCTTTCTTGCTCTGGAGGAAACAGCCCTTGCTTGGGTAGACAGATCTCTGCCCAGGGATAAGCAGTGACTGGACATCAGCCCCTCAGCCACACTGGACAGAGAAGAAGGGCAGTAAGGAGACAGGAAGGAGGATAATGATGCACCCTTGGGTGCAGGAGACAGCGGCTGGACATGCACCTCTGGGCTGCCTTCCTCCCACACTCCCCCAGCCCCTGCCCCAGAGACTCACATGTAAGCCTTGTAGTTGGATCCAATTTTCTGGATGCGGATGTCGTACTTGGAGTCGATGAAGGCCTCGGTGGTGGCGTAGGTTTTGGCCATGGCGACCACGCTGGTGATGTCCTGGAAGTCAAGCTGGTTTTCCACTTTGATCTGTGTGGGAGGATGAGGGGGATGAGTGCCACCCACCCCGTGTTCACTGAGCCCACCCTATGCCAGGAACAAGTGCTCTGTCTATAGACACGAATTCCCTTCAGAAGGTCACCTGCTGGCAGGGGAGACAGACACGGGAAGCAAATCATTCCACCACACACCGCACGAGCTGCAGAGAGGAAGGGAGTGATTCTGCTTGGGTGGTCAAGAAAGCTTTACAGAGGAGGTGAGCTCTGAACTGGGTTTGGAAGGATGAACATGTTTCAGATGGATGAGGTAGGTAGTGGGGCCATCCTCCAGAGATGCACGAGGAACCCACAGTGGGGGAAAGGGCAGGTGGCACAGACTCGCTGATGGGGGATGCGGCACGGGCCATGGGGGAACAGACTGTGGAGGGCCACAGTCTCTGGGAAGGAGCTAGGATTTTTAGCCTGAATTTTCTGGAAAGCCACTGGAAGAGGGAGTGGAGTTTAAATAAGGAAATGGTGTAGTTTGCGTTTTAGCAAAATCACTGAAGCAGCTGTGTAGAGGATGGAATGGATGGGTGTGATATGAGACACAGAGGGGCCATTAGGAAGAAGGGAGCGTGCATGTGTGCATGGTGTGTATGTGTAGGGAGCATGCATGCTGGTGAGTGTTGTGGAGTTTGTGGGAGATGTCTGTGTGTGGTGTGTTTGCATATTTGCTGTATGCTATGTGTGGTATGTTCTTTGTGTATTCATATGTGTGTGTGTATAGTGTGTGATATATGTGTGTGTGGTGAGTTTGCTGTGTGTGCTGTGAGTTGTACATGTGGTGTGTAGTATGCGGTGCTTCTGTGTGTGTGTGTAGTGTGTGATATGTGTGTGGTGTGTTTGCTGTGTGTGGTGTGTGTTGTACATGTGGTATATAGTATGCAGTGCTTCTGTTTGTGTGTATGTGTGTGTGTGTGTGTGTGTGTGCGCGCGCACACAGGCACACACTGGAGAGGCCAGCTTTGCTAGGCCAGAGGCTGGGAGAGAAACTCACACTGTTGACTAGACTGAGCCAGGAACACAGAGAGGTGTCCTGGGCTTGGGGAGAGGTCCCAGGAGAGCTTCCAAGGCCAAGCGCAGAGGACGAGGCCAAGGCTCTATGATAGTGATCTTAAGACAGAACAGAGGCTGACTCCCAGCGGCTGTGGACAGCTGGGCCAGCTGCTCCCTCCCACTGGCCACGGGAGCCCTGCTTGTCCAGAAGCGGCTCCCCACTTCCCTGTCACCCTCACCCCGACAGCAGAGGAGTTCTGATGCTGGGTCAGAGACGGGCAGAGCCCTGTGGAGTGGCCGGGCACTAGGCGGTCCACGTGGGGTTGGTCTCGGCCACACCCCATCTCACGTCCTTCCGATCTTCCTCTCAGCCCTTTTCTGCCTGCCCTTTGTGGCTCAGCTTTGCCTTGGCAACTCTGTCCCTCCCACAAGAATGCCCACTCACATTTCCACCAGCGTTGATGCTTATGCAGAGTCTTTACAGCTCTCCGTGGGGCCCAAACAGGATTGTGAGCAGGCAGGCAGGCTGGGCACTGTCGTGGTCACTTAACAGATAAGGAAACTGAGATTTCTTGACTTGCTCAAGGTTATAAAGCAGCTGAGCCCAGAGCTAGGCTTGAAACTCTGGACTCCGAAGGCACAGCTTTTCCTTGAACCATCTCAGGGGTCTGTAAGTAGGTGCCTGCCTGTTCTACCACAACGGACCTAAACAGCAACAGGAGAGAGGCTGGAAAAGCCATCTCTCTTCTTGGCTCTCTGAGTGATGACTCCAGGTCTCAATTTGCAGAGAAAATAAAGGTGACCAGGCAAGAGTTCCCTATTTTCCAGCCCTTTTCAAACTCAGCTACCCCACTTCTTCCTCCCAGCTGCAGTGGCGGTGGTGTGCCTCCTTCCTTTGTTCTGGGCCTTCTAAGCCCTTGGTTTTAGCTGGGTACCTGGCCTCCTCAGCCAGAGATTACTTTGCTCCAGTCTGTCGTGCGGGTAGATGTGCCTGAGTCTCCAAGCTCTGGCCGGTGAAACCTGGGTAGCCGTGATATTAGCAACCTCTGGGTGGTGCCCTGAAGATGAAAATAATCTTCCCCGTCCTTTTTCCTTCTTTGCTCTGGCAGGGAATGTGAACATGATGGTATGAGCAGCAGCCTCCATCTTGGGCCATGAGATGGAAGCTGCATGTTGAGGATGGCTGAGTAGAAAGATGGAAGGACCTGGGTCACTAGCACTGTGAAGCTCCCTTTCTGAGACAGGGTCTCAATATGTTACTCAAGCTGAGTGCTGTGGCATGATCATGGCTCACTGCAGCCTTGACTTCCTGAGCTCAAGCAATTCTCCTGCCTCAGCCGGCCGAGTAGCCGGGACTACAGGCGTGCACCACCATGCCCGGCTAGTTTTTGATTATTTGTAGAGACAGGGCCTCACTATGTTGACCAGGCTGGTCTCAAACTCCTTGGTTCAAGCGATCTTTCCGCCTCGGCCTTCCAAAGTGCTGGGATTACACACTCGAGCCACTGCGCCTGGCCCCTATTATGTGGGTCTTTGTTAAAGCAGCCAAATGACATTTCTGCTCATTATTTTTACTCTCTTGCTTTTCATTGATTCTTTATTCTTTGGATTAACGTGATCAAGGATCCACCATTCTCCTCAACATGTTCCTGCTTTTCAGAACCTCAGTTACGCACCACTGTCTATCTCTACATCTTCATTCCCCACTTGCCCCTCAACCCACTTTCTTTAGGTTTTACTCCCTACCATTCTCCTGAGACTGATTTGGCCAAGGTCCCTTTTAGTCCACTCTTTGGCAAATCCCATAGAATGCCTCTGGTCCTTGCCCTGCGTTGACCCTCTGTAGCACCTGAAATTAGTGAACTTTGGGAAATATGATTTCTGTACCACTGTTTTCCCAGTTCTCACCCTTCTTTCTGGCAACTTCTTCACAGTCTATGTTGCCACCTCTTCTTCCAATGCCCCTTTGATTATCCTGGGGTTTCATCTCAGCCAGTATTCAGGGTCAGGTGGAGAGAATCGGAATTGCCAAAATGAAAGAATCGGGTGAGCGTTTGCAGGGACGGCTTGTTTAACTCACATTTCTGTCCTTGGTGGCCTTGGAAAGAACCAGAATTTCTTTGGCACCTTGGTTTCCTAGACAGCCCTGAGCACAGAGTGGGCTACCTCGGAAGTGTCTAGCTGTCCACAGCATCATTTTCCTGCTTTACAGTCATGATGCACCCTGATATGGGGGGCATGTGTCCATCCAGGGTACACTTTACACTCTCTCCTCTCCCTGGCATCTTCATACCGCTGTGTGGCCACATTTTGGCCAACAAGATGTGAGCGGAAGAGGTGTATGAACTTCCAGGCTGTGCCGTTAAAGGGCAGGGGAGGGCTTTGTACTCCTCGCTTCTCTCCCCTTGCTGGCTGGAGTGTGGACCATCTTTGACAGTGTAGCTGAGGGCAACACACCAGGCATGGATGATCAGTAAGATGGAAGAAGTCCATGGTCATGAAACCATGGTAGTTCCAGGCCAGCCCTGGGCTGCTTTTGTGCAGAGCAGAGAAAGAAAGTCCTAGTTTGTTTATGCCTTTGTAAGTCTTTGTTATGGCAGCTGAAATTTATCCCAATTATTATACAAGCCCTAAGTAAATTTTTGTGGAATACATCATGCATTCTTTCACAGAGTAGACAAAGAGAGCAAAGGGAGAAAGCACAGACATAGTGGTTTAATGCAGGAGTGGGCAGGCGCCCTCTGGGAACCCTTCTCTTCTGTCTTCGTTTGAGTGGTTGTGCACTGGGGTCCCATTCTGTTGTCACCAACAGTGAGCATGGAACCCAGGTCTCTCTCTCTCTCTCTCTTTTTTTTTGAGACAGTCTCACTTACTCTGTTGCCCAGGCTGGAGTGCAATGGTGCAATCTTGGCTCACTACAACCTCTGCCTCCTGGATTCAAGCGATTCTCTTGCTTCAGCCTCTCAAGTAGCTGGGACTACAGGTGCGTGCCACCATGGCTGGCTAATTTTTGTATTTTTAGTAGAGACGTGGTTTCACCATATTGGCCAGGCTGGTCTTGAACTCCTGACCTCAAGTGATCCACCCACCTCAGCCTCCTAAAATGTTGGGATTACAGGCGTGAGCCCGGGTATCTTATACACAGGCATTTCAAAGCTTCAGGAGAGGCCCTGGCCAAATGTTCCTTTTTATTTTATTTTCTATTTCTATTTATTTATTTTTTTAAAGAGACAGGGTCTCACTCTGTCACCCAGGCTGGAGTGCAGTTGTGCAATCATGACTCACTGCAGCCTTGAACTTCTGGGCTCAAGCATTCCTCCCACCTCTGCCACTTGAGTAGTTGGGACTACAGGCGTCACCACATCCAGCTGATTTTATGTTCTTTTTCTTTACAGAGGGTCTCCCACATTGTATGACACCTGGGCAATAAAAAACGGATTCTACCCCTGGAACCACCATTTCTGTCTCCCCATTAGACTGTGAGCTTCTTGAGGACAGACGAGTGTTGTCCCCAGCTGTTGCACTGGTGCCAAGCAGATTGTACATGCTCTACACAAGTTTGCTGGATTGAATTTAAGAAGGTTGGATCAAGACCTGCTTATAATTTGGGAGGGGGGCAAGAAACTAGAAGGAAAAACAAGAGAGTTCCAAAAAAAGGCAAAGAAACTGTTTCAAGGAAACTTGTCTTTTATAAGGTGGATATTTCCATGCATTCTTGGGTAGGTGCTACGCTCTCTGAGGGTTACTGCCTGCCTCACAAGTTCTTGAGAACCGGAAGAATTCCAGGATTCTGGCGAAGAGGGGAGGTGGTCTGGAGCCTCGGTGGGTGGGTGCTGGAGGGGACTCTGGGATGGTCCTCAGGCCAGAGAGGGTAGTTGGGGTGAGAGGGCACTGGGGACACAGCCCTGAGGATGGTGAAATGGCTGCTAGCCTGGGCAGGGAGTCTTGGCACTCCGCTTTATTTACTGGCTGGAAATCCCTCCAAGGGTTCACAAAGACAAGCTGAAAACAGGAAGCCCTCAATGAGCTGTGATTCAAGATTACCCATTTGCTGCCCCAGGGGCTATGATGGGGCCACTGTGAACTCTCCAAAACAGACCCACCCACACCCTTGCCTCCCTCGCCCCTCTTCTCCCTTCTCTTATCTCCTCTCTCCTTCTCTCTCTCCTTTCTCTTGCGTCCTTGCCTTCTCACTCTCTCCTCCCTCCCTTTTCTCCCCTTTCCTCTAACACTCCTTGCCTTCTCTCTTACTCTGTTTTGTTTTTTTGTTGATGTTGAGACAGAGTCTCTCTCTGTCGCCTAAGCTGGAGCGCAGTGGCACAGTCAGGGCTCACTGCAACCTCTGCCTCCCAGGTTCAAGCAATCCTCCACCTTAGCCTCTTGAGTGGCTGGGACTACCGGCGCATGACATCACGCCTGGCTGTTTTTTCTTTGTCGTATTTTTTGTAGAAATGAAATTTCCCCATGTTGCCCAGGCTGGTCTTGAACACGTAGGTTCAGGCGATCCTCCCACCTTGGCCTCCCAAAGTGCTGGGATTACAGGCATGAGTCACCATGCCCGGCCACTCTTCCTTTTGCTTTTAATGCCATCTGTTTCCCTCTTGCACCTCTTTCCTCCTTGATTTTTCCTTGTTGCTTACTTCTTCTCTTATCTTTCTCCAGCCTCTCCCTTCCACCTCCTTCTCTGTCTCCTTCAGTTTTCCTGACCTCTTTTCAATGTTGCCATTCTTCTTCTCCTTCTCATTTCTTCTTCATTCCTTCCTCTCTGTCTTTCCTGCCTCCTTCCCCTCATGGTCTCCCCATTCAGGTTCTCACACTCTTCTCCTCTCTTGCTTTCTGAATTGCTTTACCCTCTTGTGTGCTTGTGTGCACACATGTGTGTATGTGAGTGTGCATGCATGCATGTGTGCTCTGTCCTGAGGCTGAGCAAGGAGGGAGAGTGGAAACAGAGGCAGAGAAAGTGGAGAGAGGAGTCAGGATGCAATTCCAAATCTTCTGAATGGGTTTTGGCTCAGAGGTCTCCTGTTCCAAATTACAAAATCCAACCCGGGATGGGAAAGTCATCTACATACTTAGTAGACTGTCTGCTATTTGCTTGAATATCTCCAATAGCAGGGAGCTTACTATCAGGCAGGGCAGCTCAATCCCTTTTAGGAAACCTCTAACCTGTTCTGGTGTATATCACACCAGGAATGAATGAATGGCCCTCGTTATTCTATGGAGTAAGTCTTAGCCCTCTGCCTTGTGTCTGCACTTCATCCACTTGAAGAGAGCCACCCAGGTGTGCACAAGTCATTCTTTCCTTAACCCATTCCTAATACGAGCTGCTTCCAGGCCCTTCACCATCATGAAACGCCCACATTTGACAACCTCTTAAACTACATAATACCCAGAATTACACAACAGACCCCAGGTGTGGTTTCACCAGCAGAGATCAGATAAGACTGTCCCCTCCCTCTATCCAGAATCCACCTGGCATATTCCTGCCTCAGGGCCTTTGCACTTGCTGTTCCGAGCCTGCATGGGGTTTCACCATGTTGGCCAGGACGGTCTTGAACTCCTGAGTTCAAGCCATCTGCCCACCTTGGCCTGGCAAAGTGCTGGGATTACTGGCTGAGCCATGGTGCCTAGCCTCAGGTTATTTTATTTTATTATTTATTATTATTTTTTTGAGACGGAATCTTGCTCTGTCGTCAGGCTGGAGTGCAGTGGCACGATCTCAGCTCACTGCAACCTCTGCCTCCTGGGTTCAAACGATTCTCCTGCCTCAGCCTCCTGAGTAGCTGGGACTACAGGCGCCCACCACCATGCCCGGCTAATTTTTTGTATTTTTAGTAGAGACGTGGTTTCACCATGTTAGCCAGGATGGTCTCAATCTCCTGATCTTGTGATCCGCCCGCCTCGGCCTCCCAAAGTGCTGGGATTACAGGCGTGAGCCACCGTGCCTGGCCTAAAATATTTATATTTTTATGCCACCTGTTCTAGAAAGAATTTATGGCAAATTTCAAAGATATATAACATACAACATGAGACGTAATTAAAAGCCGGATGATAGTAATTCCACTATTAAACATCCATCCTAAAGATATAATGGAAGACACATGAAATGGTATGCACGCAAGGCTGTTTATTGCAGCACTACGTGTAAAAGAAAGTTTTCTGTCAACAATTGGGCCATGTTCTATGATCTCAGAGGTTTATAGCTCCACCTTAAGCCTTGAGGACAGGATGAAGTTAGATGAGACCCTGAAGACAGGGGTGGGCGGCCTAGAGCTGTGGATGGAGCTGGAGGGATGTTGGGATGGTCCTCTGGCCAGAGGAGGCATTTGGGATAAGAAGGTATGTAGGGCGGACTGCCACCGGGATGGTGCATTGACTGCTGACCCACATGCTCCTCAGCAGGGGACAGCTGCATCCATGGTGCTCCATGCACACAATCGAATGCTTTGCAGTCAAGAGAAGGCAATGAGGAGGATCTACATACTGCTATGGCGTGAAAAAAATAGGGTGCAGAATAATGAGGATAACATGCAAGCTTTTTTTTTTTGTTTGAGACAGAGTCTCCCTCTGTCACCCAGGCTGGAATGCAGTGGCATGATCATGGCTTACTGTAGCTTCAACCTCCTGGGCTCAAGCAATCCTCCTGCCGCAGCCTCCCCAGTAGCTGAGACTACAGGCATGTGCCACCACATCTGGCTAATTTTTTATTTTTTATAGTGACAGGATCTCACCATGTTGCCCAGGCTGGTCTTAAACTGCTGGGCTCAAGCAATTCTCCGGCCTTGGCTTCCCAAAGTGCTGGGATTACAGACATTAGTCACCATGACCAGCCAACATGCAAACTTTTATCAAGAATTTTTTTGTGGACAATGCACATATTTGATTAAAAAAATACAGGCTGGGTGCGCAGGCTCACGCCTGTAATCCCAGCATTTTGAGAGGCCAAAGTGGGTGGATCACTTGAGGGCAGGAGTTTGAGACCAGCCTGGCCAGCATAGTGAAACTCAGTCTCTAGTAAAAATACAAAAATTAGCCAGGCATGGTTGTGTGCACCTGTACTTGGAAGGCTGAGGGAAGAGAATTGCTTGAACCCAGGAGGTGGAGGTTGCAGTGAGCTGAGATTGCACCGTTGTACTCCAGCCTGGGCAGCACAGCGAGACTCTGTCTCAAAAAAAAAAAATGCAATGAAGGAATGAACCAAAACCAAATGAGAATGTTACCTATAGAGGGAAGGGAAGCGGGAGGTGACGGGGATGGAGGCTAGTCCTCACTGTATATATCTTGTTTTTATAATTTTGGCTTTGGAATCAAGCAAAAATGGTTATTAATTATAAAACAAAATAAATCAACTGGAGAAAGAATTTCCTGAAAACAGAAAACAAAATAAAGTTAGTCTAACAATATATTAAGCTAGTGGCTTAAACTTACAGAGAAGAATTATTTCAAGTGACTTTGTAACAGAAGGCTGAGCACGTGGATCTCTGTGATATTCCATTTCTTAGATGAATAAATTCTTACTATTACTTATAACCCACAGTATTATAATATACTTATTTGACTGTCCTTCACACTAGAATTTATTTCTTAACAGCCTGATCAGTAATTGGCACATGGTAGATGTTCTATAATTTGTTTAACCACATTAAAAAAAAAAAAAAAGCTCAACACAACAGTAACTATATATCCCTAGCAGAAAATATCCAAAAGATTTTTTAAAACTGCTAAGAAATATAAAATTTTATTCAACTTGTTAGTAATAATAATGGTATTGCTATTTTAAACCATGATAATAGTAATAATGCTATTAGGACCCAAGATTTTTAAATATAAGAGAAAAGAGATACAATTTTAAAATAAAATAAATAAGTGTTGTAATCTAAGATTTGAATTCAAAATATCAGGATGAATTTATGATGTATTTTTCTCTTAAAAACATATATGCATTTTTCCCTGTGTCTGCCAAAAAGGCCTAGAAATGGCAAAAAAAAAAATAAGAATAAACATATTTAGCACCCAGATTGTGGTCTCTAAAACCCATTATGTTATTGAAAGGCTTCCATGGCTCCTTGGGGAAATGACTGATTCCAGGTTTGGGCAGAAAATGTACAAGATGAGTTCAAAACATCTTATCATGCTAGTAAAAGGAAAGCTACCATGTCAAGAAGACACATAAATCAACTCAAAAGGGCTCCCATTAGCCAAAGATGGGATAACTTGAGTATCAGAAAGAATAGTGACTTCAATAGATTGAAATACATCAAATTGTTAATAACCAATGACAAAAAGATCATTGGTCATGTTTGGAGGGTGCTAAGACACTATCTCACTATTCCAAAATAAATGGGTAAATAACAGTGATGAAGAAATATTCTCTTTGATGTTTTCTAGCTACTAAATGCAAAAGAAATAGAATTAGGACATCATCCTTCTGCAGCCCCTAATGCAATAACAGATTGAGGCAATGCTGATCAATGCCAAGGCCACTGGGGAAAGGCTGATGGGAAACTTGATAATGTGTGGATCAGGCAGACGATACCTGAGCTCAAGGACCACTCTTGACATCTCAACAGAGAGACTTGCCAGTCAGATGTGATGCAAGATAATGGCCCCTACCCCCACCCTGCACCAGGGAAGTATTCTTGCCAGAATCCAGAACCTGATTCAGATAAAAATCTCTGCATTTAACTACTAGTTTACAGGAAATGCAGGTGATAGAGGAACAACATGGAGCTGCCATTGGCCAAATTAGCATGTAGGAAATTCTACAGGAAAAATGGCCTCCCCCCACCAACAAATAAATGACAAGGAAAAAAAAAAAACAGAGGAGACTGAACTGTTATAGATCATAAGAGGCTTATGTCATACTAACCATGTGAATATGAAGGACTTGTCTGCATACAATGGAACACATCAATTAACAGGAGGCTATTGAACAC
Source organism: Homo sapiens (assembly GCF_000001405.40). NCBI lineage: Eukaryota > Metazoa > Chordata > Mammalia > Primates > Hominidae > Homo > Homo sapiens. The sequence continues at coordinate 32,551,657 of NC_000022.11, forward strand.
TGATGATATACTAGATGATATTAAAGAATTATTATTATGTTTTTAGGTCTTTGGCTACATTAGAGACAAAAAAAGAAGCTTTTGTGTGTTAGAAATATTCACTGAAATATTTATGGGTGAAATGACTTGATATCTGAGATTTGCTTTAAAATATTCCAGTGATCTACAGAGACAGGAAGCAGAGGAGCAATTGCCAAGGACTTGGGGGAGAGGAATGGGTAGTCACTGCTAATTGATGTGGGATAATGAAAATGTGCTACAATTATACAGCGGTGATGCTTCCACCTTGTAGATATTCTAAAAAACACTGAAGGCCAGGTGCGGTGGCTCACGTCTGTAATCCCAGCACTTTGGGAGGCCGAGGTGGGTGGATCACGAGGTTAAGAGTTGAGACCAGCCTGGCCAACAGGGTGAAACCCTGCCTCTACTAAAGACAAAAATTAGCTGAGAGTGGTGGCGGGCGCCTGTAATCCCAGCTACTTGGGAGGTTGAGGCGGAAGAATCGCTTGAACCCGGGAGGCGGAGGTTGCAGTGGAGCAAGATCGCGCCACTGCACTCCAGCCCGGGTGACAGAGTGAGACTCCATCTCAAAAACAAAAAACAAAAAACAAAAAACTGAAAACACTTTAGAAGGGTGAATTTTATAGCATGAGAATTAGATCTGAAAAAAGTATCCAGAGGTGTTTGAGAGGAAGATTGGAGATGTACATAAAATATAATTGAGCATCAGTGGATAATGGTTGAAGTTGGGTCAAAGGTTTTTCTTTTTTTTTTCTTTTTTTTTTTTTTTAGTGTGAGGCTAAAGGTACATGGGGTTCCAGTTTACCATTTTCTCTTCTTTTGTATATATTTGAAACTTTTAGGTTAAAAACAAGCAGGACTAAAGGAGAAAAACAAAGATGAGGACATAAAATTGTACTTAGACTGGGGTTAACAGTGGTTATGTCTGGATATAGATGTGGCCCCTTTTTTGTGTGTCTGTTGAAGAAAAGAAACTTTGATCAGTAACATGATTCAGTCTCCCTAAGAGGAAAAAGCACGAGGTGCCTAAGAGATTTACAACCCATTCTTGCAATAAAATCATATGATGTTTCTCCTGAGCTCCTCCTATAGAGGACACTGCGATATGTAACAAATGTAAGCCTCAACAATGCTCTTTGATGATTGGCTGTTTCCTATAATGTCACTTAGTTAGGCTTCTGTCTTACTCTACTGGAGCTACTATCACAAAATACCAGAGACTAGGCGGCTTAAACAGCAGACATTTATTTCCCACAGTTCTGGAGACTGGGAAGTCCTAGATCAAGGTGCTGGCATGGTCAGGTTCTGGTGAGGCGCTCTGCCTGGCTTGCAGATTGCTGCCTTCTGGCTGTGTCCTCATGTGCCACAGAGAGAGAGTGAGCAAGCTCTCTGGTATCTCTTCTTATAAGGACCCTCATCCCATCATGAGGGCCCCACCATCGTGACCTCATCTAAACCTAATTACCTCCCATAGATCCCATCTCCAAATCCCATCACTTTGGGGATTAAGGCTCCAACATATGGGCTTTACCGGGGACACAATTCAGTCCAGAGCATCTCATGTCCTCATGTCCTCTCCTTAAAGCATGATTCAAAGAAAGCAGTTTGCAGATGGCCAATAAATGCAATGCAGTGATCATTTTGATCCGTTTTTAAATAAAGCTTATTAATTACTTGAAAAAATTATATACAGACATGGCAAAAAAGGTAAAAGATATCAAAAGGAAATCTGGAAAAAAAATAATTCTAAACCTCAAGCCTCCTGGTGATAAGATTTCTTTGTACTTGTCTGGAAATATTCTATAAATATAATAATGTAAGGTGATAGAAATGGGTCTCATTCTGTCTCAGTCTGAAATGAATCAAGAAGACAAAGTTGCTATTTCCCAAAGTGTGCTATGAGAGACTGCTATAGTCAAGACCTAGCAGACTCACCCATGTATTATATAACAAGGTTAGGTTGCTGGAGATTAGGGAAGTTTTTTGAAATGGTGGTTTCTTTGGAAAATGTTGTGTCAGCCTACTCTGGCCTTTTGGTAGATAGGTCTGGTAAGAGAGTCTATGGGACACCCAGTGAGGTGGGGCCTGGTGAACTGGTGCTGATCCCTAGGGCATCTGTAGGTGAGCATCCCAGCCTTTGGGGTTGGCCCACATCCCAGAGTTTATCCAGGCTCAGAATGCAAATGCTTCCTGTGGACTACAGTTGGGCTGTATGGGAGAAAGGCTGGCTTTGAGCCACTTAAAAATCTTACATGGGGGAGCAGCAGCTGAAGGAGAGACATTGCCACCTCCACTGCCACCACCACGGTCCACACCATCATCATCCCTCACTGGACCATCGCCATCATCTCCTTTGAAAATTCCCCTTGCCCAGGCCAAATGTCAGGCTTATTTCCTCAAAATCTCCGGAGGTACCAGTGTCTGTTGAAGCTCTGCAGGCAGATGTGTGCAGCCCAGGTTGGAGAGGTGGTGTCTGGCCATCTCTCTTTTGCGTTCAGCCAAACTTGGTCCTGCCTCAGTGACTTTGCACTTGCTGTTCCTGCTGCTTGGAACAATTTTCCTGAATATTGTCTGTGGCTGGTTGCTTCAGGTTTCAGCCCAGATGGTCCCTCAATACGGGCTTTTTCCAAGTACCTGATATACAGTGGCCACTCCTCCCTGTCCGCTCTGGGAAGTCTCTACTGAAATCCCCTGGTTTATTATCATTTTTGTTACCACCTTCACCTCTCTGAAATTACTTGTCTGTTAATATATTTACTGCCTTTCTCCTCCACTAAAATATAAGCTCATAAGACTAGGAACCTTCAGTGTCTTGCTAGGGAGGCAATTTACCAGCATGTTTAAAAATGCAAGCTCTCTGTCCTTAGGCATCCTTAGTCACCTGCTCTGTAACCGTCCTTCCAGCCAAACTATTCACCCCGCCACTCCGGCTCGTACCCCTGCTTTCTTTAAAATAGCCAATCGGAATTAGCTTAGACTGTATGGTCCAACCCTAGCCAATAGGGGAAAGACACAGCAGTAAGAACTAGCTGCATTAGGAATAAGACCCCCTTCCCCTCCCTTGTCCGGTGTGCTCTCGCCATTGCTCCATCTGCGAGACACACCCTTCTCTAGAAGTAAAATTGCCTTGCTGACAAAAAAAATGCAAGCTCAAATCCCAACTCCATCACTTATTCGCTGCATGGCCTTGGGTAAGTTACTTAACCTCTCTGTGTCTCACTTTCCTCATCAACGAAATGTGGATAACTTGAATACTGGATTGCTGTTGAGCATTCAATGAGATACTACATGTAAATGCACTAAAAGAGCACCTGGCTCATCACAAATGCTCAATAAATGTTATAACTATCATTATTATTCCTTTTTATACCCCTAGCACCCAGCATAAGGCCTGGCACATAGTAGGTCCTCCATAAATAATTGCTGAAAGAATGAATGAAGAGGCCAGTCATGAGAACTGTGGTGGGAAGAGAGTCTAGGCCGAGGAAAAAAGGAGGTGCAATAGCCCTGAGGTTGATGCTGAAACTCACAAGCTGTAACAGAAAACTGGGTCTTAACATCCTCTTACGAAAGCTGAAGGCTAATAGGGAATAATGCTTGAAGAGGGGACATCCCATCTCCCCTGAGAGAGGAACACAAGGAGTGAGGCCAAGATCCTTCCCAGAAAGTGATTTGGAATCAATCCTGATACAGAAACACATAAGCAACTGAAGCTTATTGCCCTATTTCAATCACCCAGAAAACATTTAAGGCAACCATGACCAGTTGCTCACCCTGCTGAGTTTCTCTCCAGCAAGCCTCCATAGAAGTCCCAGCTTGGAGCATGCTCCCTCCTGGTGTGATGGCCGGGACATACTGGTTTTTTTAAAGTAAAGATAACTGCATGAGGTAATTTACTGAACCAGGTTATTTACAAATCAGTGAAAAGTCAGGAGGATGCATACCAAAAATAATCACCATAGGTTCAGAACAGTCACTCTGTGGCCTTTCTTTCTGGCAAAAATTAGCTGGCAGGGCCAACTGGATGTTCAGGCCACTCCTAGTTGGAGATAATAAAACCATAACCCGGGCACACAAATGGATGCTTGTTTTCCTGTTTTTATAACAGGAAGGCATGCATCCAGCTCATTCCAAAGGGGTATCAGCTCATTAAGAAACTAGTCGGATGGGGTCAAGGGGGATAAACTAAATCTCTGTTTTACCTCCCAGGAAATTCTTAACCAGCCTGCATGTCCCAGACTCTCAAGACAGGATTAAGTACAAGTTCTGTGTGACGAATATTAATACCAGGTCATGCTCACAGAGTTTAGCTCAGAATCAATTCCCGAGCTCATCAAAGGCTTAGAAGCAGCAATGGGGACTTGCAAAAACCCTAAAGCAGAGGTTCCCAAGCCTTCTTGGTTTATGGTGCCCATCTCAAGAATTTTTTCACGGCATTCTTAAGGCCAAAGAAGTACTAAGCAGATTCACGTATTAAGTAGTTAGAGCGAAATAGCTTATTAAGTGTTTACATCCTAACAATTTAGTAACCATTTGAAAAAAAGTACGGAATGTTTTTATTTCATTCCTAAATAACTACAATTACTTACTAATGGGATGTATGTGCTTATTGGGCAGTGCACAAATTCCTGAACCTTAGAATCAGATTGGACACCATTACCCTCATTTCCTCTCCCACGTGATTTTCACATGGTACTTAGTTTTTGGCACAACCACCACCAAAAACTCAGCTTCACAAAGATGCAACATCACTGAAAGAAACATACGATCCAATCTAGAAACGAAACTACTTCGGCCATTAATTTACATGGCGTCTGACAGACGCTGAGAATTGCTATGTTTCCTTTGAAAATTAAAAATATACTGTGCTACCCCCATGAGTCTGTGGCGCTCCAGGACTTCTCAGTGTCGAGTTTGGGAACTGGAGCCCTAATGTGATGACTTTTGGAGTTCTCCTCTAACAGTAAATAACAGAAGTCTCTGGTGTTATATCCCAGGGAAAAAAGCCTGACTGCTCCTCATGTAAAACACAGGTCTGAGAAACCTATGGGGTGGGCTGGGGGGAGGAGGTATATCCATATACCCAATGACCCAATGACCCAATGACCCAATCTATAGGTTTCCTGGTTTTTTTTTTTTTTTTTTTTTTTTTTTTTTTGTGTGTAGAGATGGGGTCTTGCTGTGTTGCCCAGGCTGGTCTCGAACTCCTGGCCTCGAATGGTCCTCCTGCCTTGACCTCCTAAAGTATTGGGATTACAGGTGTGAGTCACTGCACCCAGCCTAGTCAATCTATACTTTAAAAAAGTCCACACTTTAGGAAAATTAAAAGGATATCACACTTTTTAAGATGGTATAAACTCTGTTCAAGATAGATGCATCAGGACCATGTTCTTAATGCATACAAAGGTGGGTTAGTTAGTGAGAGTAAGCTCGCTATTTAGAATAGTCCTTAAACATATCTGAAAAGAAAATGTTGCTCAAACGGTGTATTAAAAAGATTATTAAGGTACCATTTCTATCATGAAGGAGTTCACAGTCCATGGGAGAGGCAGATACATGAACAGATAATTCTATAGAGGGTGACCAACACCACAAAGGGCATGCGGCTGAGGGGCCCTGATTCACAAGGGGAGGGGGGATGGGTGCAGAAGTCTTCCCCAGTGAGGGGATGGAGTCCACCTGAATTTTCTTTGTAATGATTATGGAGATTAACCTGCAAAATAACAATTCACAGTGGGTGTTGGCATGGGGCTTCATCTCATTTTCACACTCATTCTTTCAAGACATCTTTCCTGCTTTTTACTGGGCATTAACTATGTGCCAGCAACTGTACTGCACAGTTTACATGTATTATCTCAGTTAATCTTCAAAACAACTGGATGAGCCTCTGGCCATGACGTATCCAGACAAGCCCTGTCTCTGTAAACAACTATAAAACTGGAAATAATTTATGAGCCAACTGTTTCTAGGCAGCAGAAATAGGCAATGCAAGGCTGTGATCCTAAGAAGAGGGGAATTGGGAGGGGAGCCTCGTGTTCACCCGGTGCCTTTCCCAGCCTCGTCACATGCCACTCTGCCCTTGCCCGTGACACTCCAACTTACTGGTCTGGCACTTCCTAAACAACCCAAACTCTTTCCTGCCTTTGGGCTTTTGCATCTGCTGTTCTCTGCCCCCAGAAAGTTCTTCTCCATTGTTCTGTGCCTGGCTGGCTTGTTGTCACTTTTCATATGTTTTGTGTAAGTGTCACCAGGTCAGAAGTTTTTTCTCTGATAGTTCTACTGTGTTTTTCTCTCTTTTAACAATCTCTTCTTCTCACCAAGAAGTACCAAGTTGAGTTTGTAACTGTGTATTTATTTGCTTGCTTTTGCATTGTCTGCCTATTCCACTAGACTATGACTTCTCTACCCAGGGCTTAGCACAGCACCTAGCACATAGTAGGTGCTTAATAAATAGCTGTTGAATGAAAAAAAGAAAGAAGGATTAGATTGGCCCCTCTCCTTCCTGGAGCAAGTGAGGGAATGAGGAGTTAGGAGGAAAATTAGGAGAAAGGCAATTCCTCCTTCCTCTTTACAATGTTACTGAAGCTCAGAAACCCTGTAGGATATAGCTGAGAAGGCTTTGTGAAGGATTAAAGACATGAAGACAGTGTATGTCCACTCAGTAGAGCCTCTTGGCAATCTTGGGAGGGAGATGTTGTTCCTCCCATTTCAGGGATGAGGCTCAGAGATGCGAAGAACTTGCCTGAAAGCACCCAGCTAGTAAGTGGAGGAATGAGGATATGAATCTGGTCCTGGAGAATTCAGAACCCCATGATCTGTCCATGATCTTGCCCTGGTTTGAATGCAGAGGATGGAGGCAACTTTTCCCTTTTCCTATCTTTTCTCTTTCCTATCTTTTCCCTTCCCCACTTCCCCTCATCTGGGTCTTCTGCAAACTCCAGTGACAGATGGGCTTGAGCTGGCAAAGTGCAGGTTTTGAGAGTGCCATGGGGCAGGTGCCTAGTCTCTTCCTGGAAGGACCCGGGAGGGCAAGCTGTACCAGCCAAACTCTATTGCCAAGGTATCCCCCACTGGAATCATGGCCCTGATGACTCAACCCAAGGGCCCCTTAGCCAAGGCAGACTGTGCCAGGGGACCCTAACATGGCCGGGGCTCTGGGCTGACTCACAGGGCAGGCTGCCACCACCTGAGTCACCCGCCCCACCTCTGACTGGAGAGAAGAGGCTGGGGAGGCTGGGGTGGGGCACTGGTCTGGGACCATGTGACTCAGCCTGTGAATAAATAATGATGACAGTGATTGTAATAACAAAAATGATGGACAGTGACAGCTACCTCTAACGAGTGCTTTCTATGTGCTTGGTGCTATTCTATGCACTATATACAGTATTCATTTAGTCTTCATAACAATCCTATGAGGTAAGTACTACTATTCCCATTTCATACATGAACAACTGCGGCCCAGCAAGGTTATGTCATTGGCTGCAGGACTCACAGCTGGAACAGAAAAGCTGAGATTTCAACTACGTCCGTCTGACTCTAAAGCCCAGACATTCATTCAGTTAATATTTATTGAGCCCCTACTACAAGCCAGACACTGTTGTAGACACCAAGGAGACAATGGCAGGGTTGGGTGGGAAGATAAACAAATAGATATATGACATATTAGGTGGAGATGAGAGATGAGTGCTACTGTTAGAGTAGCTAGTCAGGCAGACATGAGGAGGGCCAAGAGGGCTCTTCCCCATCCACCAGAAATGTCAGGCGACTTTCAGGTGATGGTCAGGCAGTTTTTAATTGTCTCGTTAAAATAATAATTGGTTGCAGCTGGCACCAGAGAAAGGCAGTCTCCTAATGGATAGAAAAAACCTTGGCCGGGCGCGGTGGCTCACGCCTGTAATCCCAGAACTTTGGGAGGCCGAGATGGGCGGATCACGAGGTCAGATCGAGACCATCCTGGCTAACACGGTGAAACCCCATCTCTACTAAAAAAATACAAAAAAATTAGCCGGGCGTGGCGGCGGGTGGCGCCTGTAGTCCCAGCACTCTGGAGGCTGAGGCAGGAGAATGGTGTGAACCTGGGAGGCAGAGCTTGCAGTGTGCCCAGATAGCGCCACTGCCCTCCAGCCTGGGAGACAGAGCGAGACTCCGTCTCAACAAAAAAAAAAAAAAAGAAAAAAAGAAAAGACCTTAAACTGGTGATCAGCAGCTTCCTGATTAGATCTCAGGAGTTGGGTGAGTGGGCTCAAGCCTGTGCACTAAGAGGCAAAATGGCGGAGTGTATGTAACTGGTATATGACCTTCTTCTAGGAACACGTGACTGGGAAGGGCAAAACGCCTCCAGTGAGCATGCGCACAACTTCAGTAAACACACTGTGCCTGCAGCCCCTCCCAAGTGCTGGCAGGCCACTGCGCATGCAGACAGCCCACCTCAAGGGAAGAATCAGGGGAGAAGGAATGCAAGACCCCGGAAGCAACCCCAAGTCAAAGGTCAAACTGTGCACTTGATCTCTCAAGTTGCCCGACTGGCCCTCTTCCAAGTGTACTTTACTTCGTTTCATTCCTGCTCTAAAGCTTTTAAATACAGTTTCACTCCTGCTCTAAAGCCTGCCTCCTTCTTTCCCTCTGCCTTAGGCCTCTTGGTCGAATTTAAGGCAAGAATGGAGGTTGCTGAAGGTTCCACTGCTAACAGTATGGGGAAAATAAATTACATAAAGTGGGGTAGGGATGATTGGGGGGTCAGACTTGGGACACTATTTCTCATAGAGCAGCTGGAGTTCTCCCTAATAAGACGTCGTCGAGTAAAGACCCAAAGGAAGTGCAGAAACAAGTCACAGGCCTATCCTGTCGATTCCAGGCAGACAATAGCAAGAGCCAAGGCCTGAGGTGCGACATTGACGTGTGTGCTTGGAGAAGAGGCCGATGTGGATGCAGCGGAGTGGAGGGAGGGCTGAGAGGTGGGCTGCAGGTCAGAAAGATGGGGAAGGGTCATGTAGGGTCTCAGAGCCACCGCAACGACTTTCGTTTTTACTGCAAATGGCATGAGGAGCCACGGAGGGTTTCAAGCAAGGGGGATCACATGATCTGACTTATGGCTTGAAAGGTTCGCTTTGTTGTGAGACTAAAGCAAGGACTGAAAAGCAAGGGACCTGTTGGAAGCCCACTTTCATCATAGAATCCCCATGAGAAGGGACAGTGGCTTGAACGAGGGTGGTACATTCTAGAAATATTTTAAAAGTAGAGCTGAAAGGATTTGCTGATGGGTAGGATGTGGGGTGTGAAGGAAATGCAGGAGTGGAGGATGATTCCAAGGGCTTTGGCTGGAGCATTTTGAAGGCGGATCCCGGCTTTCCCCTCCTCAGCCCACCCACAAATGGGAAAGCCTGCGGAGGAGCAGTTGTGCCCACGATCAGAGTCCTTGTGGACAGCCCCAGTCAGACGACAGAGAAAGTCTCCCTCCAGGTTTTTCCTGCTCCTAGTGGATGGGAACAGAGACCCCTGAAGCCCAGAATGTCACCTGCGGCCAGCGTAGGTCAGGGGAACTCGCTCAAGAAGGAAGTTGCCCCTGAGGCCAGCAGGAGAGACAGACAGAGCCTAGGGCATCGGTGACTTCACTGAGACACTCATCACCAGGACTTCATGGTGTTTAGGCCAGTTTGAACTGGAATTTTCTAGTATTTACAGCCAAAATAATCTTGATACAGGGTAGGTGCCTTCACTGGCTTCTGGCTGCCCAAACCTGCTTGGCTTGCCTATGGGTGTGTCTGCAGAGAAGGTATTTTTGCTGAGGCTCTAGTCTCCAGAATTTGTCACTCTGGAGGGACTTGGGGGGTCCTGGCTGGTTTTCTTCAGCAGCAGAGGACCTTTCAGTTGGGGGAATGATAATGGGGGCATCTCTTATTTCCAAACTCTGGCAGTTTCCTTCCATGTGGAGGGAACAACATCCCTGGCCTGTCGGCTGCCTGCCACTCACCCGTCCCCGGAGCAGGTGACATTCTGATCAGAGAGTTTGAAGGAGAAACGGGGCAAGTGTGGACCAGTCCATTCTTCTCTTCTTTCTGTTTCCCACGAAGAGCATGGAATCTACTCTGCTTCTGACTGGAGAGTTTGCAGGCCAGGCTCCTACGTGGGGAAGCCTGTAGAGGCCCAACGCTGCCTCCAAGGCTTGGGGGAGGCAAATCTGTCTCATTCTGGGGTTAAGTCCTGAGGAGCCCATTTGCCTGCACAGCAAAGCCACATTCCTCCACATCTTGATTTCTACTAGGTGATATATTTGATTTTGCAAATTCCTTCCTCTTACGACACCCCAGCATAAACCTGCAACGTGGCTGACTGGTTGGAAGAGCATATTGAAGGAGTGAAGCCAAGCATGAGGTGGGTTGAATTCTTCTTCCAATCCGAGATCCAATGATTCTGTTATCTGACAAAAAGAAGCACCCCGGTTCTGTCAAAGAGATAACATCCCCCCCAATACTTAATTCTGAAAGGCACATATTCAATGGTTCGTCATGAGACTTTGCACAGTGGATAACAAATAGCACCATTGCTGGTGGTTTTATAAAAGTTGCCGAAACGTCTCCAGCCGACTGGAACCTTCCTCCCGCCCTTTCCCACCTTCATTGCATGACCCCTTGGCTTTGTCAGGCTGAGGACAGGGCAGCGGGCTCCTCCAGAGCTCATTAAGGTTTGCTTTTCCCTTGCTCAAAGTGATCCTTGGTAAATTTCCTCTTCAGGGTCTGAGAACTCGACCTTTAGTCAAGGAACCATCTGGGTTGGCCTGGAGGGACATTGCTCACCTGTGAAATGATTGCCCCACAGTGACCGGCCCTGACAGAGAGCTCCTCTCTCCCTGGTCTCTGCCTAATACTCCCCACAATCTGGTCTTTCACGGGGAGTGCCCGACAGTGGACTTGACCGGCTCTGCCCCCTGTCAGCACTTCCTCACTAAGCCGCTCCACCCTACTCCGTTTTCTGCCCAACAGGAGAATAAAGGAAGCATCAGAGCCTCCCAGGCGAGATTCCAGATTGTCTGTAATGAAAACAGACCAAGCCAAGCAAACAAAGCAGATGCTTGGCCTAAGCCCTGCTTATTATTTCAATCTTATATGGACATTTCATTGCTTCGGGCCATGTCTGCAGGTGATTGGCCCAGGGTCCTTCCTTTCTGTTGTTGGGGGGCATCAGCCCAGGCTTTCATGGGAAGGACACAGGATCAACCAGGACAAGGGAAAGAAGAGCCAGGGGGCCTGAACTCCAGTTCCAGCTGGGAAGAGACCTCACTGGGTGACCTTGGGCAAGTAACTTTCCCTCTCTCAACTCTCAGATTCAAATTTCCACCATGCAAGCATAGGGTATAAAAGTAAATCAAGGTTAAGAGAGTGGCCTCTGGAGTCAGAGCATGTGGCTTTCAGTTCTGACTCACCGATTGCCATAACCTCATTGCGTTCCCACTCCTTCAACTGTACGCTGGTTATTAGTATCCAGCTTAGAGGCACTATAGGTAAGAGGTTTAAGTAAATTAACTCATGGGAAGTTCTCCAGGCAGGGCCTGGCATGTAGCATGTGCTCAATACATTCATCATGATTATTATGAATAATCCTATGAAGATCACAGCCTGTAAGGGCAATGAGACATGTCAAAGTTAAGTACACCAGCAGATTACAGATGGGGCCCCAGAATTCTGCATAAACACAGTGTGGATGCAAAGCAGGGAGGGTCATGTCAACTGAAGGTGTTGGGGAGAAGTTCAGGAAACTCTTGAACTTGAGCTGAGTTTGGTCTTGATGAGGCTGACACAGGTGTAGGACACTCGTGGAAGATAAAATGGAGGGAAAAGCCAGAGAACATGGAACAGCCTGGCATGTTCCGGGATTGGAGAGTGGTTGGGTGTGGCTGGAGCAGTGGGTGTGAGGAGGCATGTGCCGAGAGGACCCTGGAAAAGTTGATGGATCAGGGTGGATCCTGTAGGCTTTCCCCTTGGACAACCTGGAGCCCTGCTAGTTTTTTTGTTTGGAGACAGAGTCTCACTCTGTTACCCAGGCTGGAGTACAATGGCTCGATCTCAGCTCACTGCAACCTCCGCCTCCCAGGTTCAAGCGATTCTCCTGCCTCAGCTTCCTGAGTAGCTGGGATTACAGGCATGCACCACCATGCCTGGCTAATTTTGTATTTTTAGTAGAGACAGGGTTTCTCCATGTTGGTCAGGATGGTCTCGAACTCCTGACCTCAGGTGGTCTGCCTCCCTCGGCCTCCCAAAGTGCTGGGATTACAGGCATGAGCCACTGCGCCCGGCCCCTGTTGGGTTTCAAGCAGAGGAAGTGAGGTAGCCAGTTCTGGGTTTTAGGACCCTAGCAAATGGATGGGAGGGGCCAGCTGGGGGGCCACGCAATCCTTAGGCAGTGATTGTTGCAGTTTAGAGCAGAAGTGGTGCAGAGCTGACCTAAGACACCAAGATCAGGGAGGCAGGAAAATGCAACGCATGCCTGAGCTGGGAACACAGGACTCAATCATGGAGTGGCTGTGAGGGCCCAAAGGGGAGCCAAATGATAGAACCATTTGCCGGCCATGACTGCACGTCTTTCATACTGGGAGTCCTGCCCTGCTACAGATGAAGAGGCCCCGGGAGGGTTGAGTCACTTCTTCCAGGTCACATAGCTGGTGAGCAAAGGAGAAGGATGCCTACTGGGAATCTGGCTTCGCAGCTCCCAGCCATAAACCAAGGCTGCTTCTCTGTAACCATGGCCAGCCTTTATTGAATGCTTTTCATATGCCAGGCATTGTTCTAAGTAACTTTCCCAAGGTCACACGGCTAGTAAATGACAGAGCTGTGATTCAAACACAAGCAGTACTCCCAGACTGCACCCAAACAATGCTCCCGGACTGTACACAAACAGTGTCCCAGACTGCACCCAAACAGTGCTCCCGGACTACACCCAAGCAGTACTCCCAGAATGCACCCAAACGGTGCTCCCGGACTGTACACAAACAGTGCTCCCAGACTGCACCCAAAGAGTGCTCTCGGACTGCACCCAAACAGTGCTCCCGGACTGCACCCAAACAGTGCTCCTGGGCTGCACCCAGTGCTCCCGCATTGTACCCAAACAGTGCTCCTGGGCTGCACCCAAACAGTGCTCCCGCATTGTACCCAAACAGTGCTCCCGGACTACACCCAAACAGTGCTCCCGGACTGCACCCTAACAGCGCTCCCGGACTGCACCCTAACAGTGCTCCCGGATTACACCCAAACAGTGCTCCCGGATTGTACCCAAACAGTGCTCCTGGACTGCACCCAAACAGTGCTCCTGGACTGCACCCAAACAGTGCTCCCGGACTGCACCCAAACAGTGCTCCCGGACTGCACCCAAACAGTGATCTCAGACTGCACCCAAACAGTGCTCCCTGACTGTACACAAACAGTGCTCCCGGACTGCACCCAGACAGTGCTCCCGGACTGCACCCAAACAGTGCTCCTGGGCTGCACCCAAACAGTGCTCTCGGACTGCACCCAAACAGTGCTCTCGGACTGCACCTAAACAGTGCTCCTGGACCACAACTGCTTATCACTATGCTGAGTTGCTTTGGGTGACACAATGATGCAGGTGAAACCATGGGAGTGGATGGGATTGTCTAAAGCATTGTTGTCTCTGGAACTCCAGTGAGAGTCACATGTATAATTACAAGTTTTCTATTAGCCACATTAAAAAAAGTAAAAAGAAATAGGTGAACATAATTTTAATAGTGTATGTATGTATGTACATATATATACACACACATATACATATAAAATAGTTTACGTATATACATATATAAAAAATATAAATTCATACATAAAAATATATATAAATATATAAGTATATATAGGAGACCGAATCATGCCCTGTGCCCAGGCTGGAATTCAGTGGTGCGATCCTAGCTCACTGCAGCCTGGAACTCCTGGGCTCAAGCAATCCTCCTGCTACAGCCTCCCGAGTAGCTAGGACTACAGGCATGCACCACCGTGCCTGGCTAATTTTTAATTTAATTTAATTTTATTATATATTTATTTATTTATTTAATTTTTTTTTACTCGCTCTGTCCCCCAGGCTGGAGTGCAGTGGCACGATCTCGGCTCACTGCAAGCTCCGCCTCCCAGGTTCACACCATTCTCTTGCCTCAGCCCCCCCGAGTAGCTGCGACTACAGGCACCCACCACCACGCCCAGCTAATTTTTTGTATTTCTAGTGGAGATAGCGTTTCATCATGTTAACCAGGATGGTCTCGAACTCCTGACCTGGTGATCTGCCCGCCTCGGCCTCCCAAAGTGCTAGGATTACAGGCATAAGCCACCGCGCCCAGCCTATTTTATTTTTTTAGAGATGGGGTCTTGCTATGTTGCTGAGGCTGGTCTCAATCTCCTGACCTAAAGTGATCCTCCTGCTTGGGTCTCCTAAAGCACTGGGATTACAGGTGTGAGCCACTGCACCTGGCCAGGGTATTTTGTTTAACCCGATATAAAAAAAGTTCTCATTTCAATGTGTAATCTATATAAAAATTATGATTGAGATATTTTATGTTCTCTTTTTTGTAACTCTAGTCTTGGAATTGGGTGTGTATTTTATACTCAGCCTATCTCAATAGAGGCATGTGTCAAGCACTCAGTAGGTGCACGTGGCTGATGGCTACCAAACTGGACAGTGCAAGATGGAGGGATCTGTGGACAGTGAGAAAGAGAGAGGGGGCAAGGTCAGAACCGTAGGGCACATGGATGCTCAAGGGAAGGGTGGAAGAGGAGCTTGCAAAGGAGCCTGGGAAAGCCTGGCTGGAGACAAAGGAGGAAAGGCAGCCAGCATGGTGTCCCTGAAAGTGACGTAAAGTTTGTGTGTTAAGAGATGGGTACAACAGTGACACAACCCGGAGGAGAGCAAGCAAAACAAGGGGCTGAAGACTTTATCAGGATTTTCTATTTGGAGGTCATGAATTATCTTTGCCAGACCAAACTTTGTGGAGTGGTGGGAGCTGATTCAGGGAGCTGGAGAGAATGGAGACAACTACAGGCTCCTTTTTAAGAAACTTGGCTGAGAAGGTAGGTAAAGGGGTACAAGGGCTCAGCAAAGACTTATTTATTCTTTTCAAATCTAAATGAGACTTGAACATTCTTTAGTGTTGAAAGATGCCCTTCAGAAAGCAACATTGAGCGCCAGGAGTGAGAAGAAACGGACAGGTAGCCAAGTCCTAGAGGCTATGATGGAAATGAGAGCCAGAACTCAGAGGTAAAATGAAATCTACAAAGGAGAAAAGACTCCACTGAGATGGGAAAGAAGGTGTGGGGGCAGGCAGAGGTGCAGGAAGATGAACTTTGATACAGGGGAATGGATTCTCTTCTTTGATGGGAAGGACGTGGGGCTTGAAGAGAGCAGCAAAGTTCTGGAAATGCCACAGTGAGACTGGGAAAGGTAACTGACTAGGGAGATGTAAAAGCTTCACCAGGACCCACTAGGGCCCTGCTGGGGTTGGAGATGAGGCATTTGTAGTAGGAGCATGAGATCAGTGATGAGGTTTTCTCCAACTGTGCTCAGCAGTGTCAGTTTAGGAAAGGAGAAGGCCCATCGGTGGATTGATTCAAGGTTGAGTGTTCTAGGGCAGGTGCAATAGAACGATGACGGAGATCCTCCCTCCCTCCCTCCCTCCCTCCCTCCCTCCCTTCTTTCCTTCCTTCCTTCCTTCCTTCACCAAAAATGTATTAAGGGACTGCTGTATGCCAGGTACTCTGCTAGGTGGTGGAAATAGAACACAGAGCCAAAAGAGATTAAGATTCCCGCCTCCATGGAGCTTATGGCAATGGTTTTCTGCAAATTCTCAATTGGTCCTTAATATGGAAGGGGAAGAAAAGGGTTATGTATTGGGCCTCAGAACATTAGCTAAAAAATTGGGATGGACTGATACATTTCACATGTGGAGCTGGCATGGTCTACTGTGTGGTCGGGGAGAGGGTGGCTACTTTGGACAGTGGATACCAATCTTGAAGTCATGGAAGTAGGGATTATCATCCACATATCCCCAGATGGGGTTGACGAGCCTCAGAGGCAGCACGTGACCAGCCCGAGGTCACACAGCCAGGAAGTGGGAAGATTGTCTGGGCCCAGAGTCTGCTGTTTTTACTTTCCTATACTCCCAAGCTGATGAAACCCCAGGAAGAGGAGGTTTATTGAACTCCTTGCGGGTATAGGTTCCCTGCCTCCCTCCTCCTTCTCTTGCCAACCCTGATTTGGGCCAGAGCCATGGCCATTTTATGCATCAGTGTTGTTTGGAGGGGGAAGCTTGCTAATGAGGATGATCCCCAGTTTCAGAAGGGACCGGACGGTCACAGCTGCATAAAGTCCTCTGGATGATTAAAGCTCCTCACGGGACAGGCAAGGCTGTTAGAATCTTCCTGGAGTTGACAGGCAAAAGCACAGCCAGACCTTTGCTCCTAGCTGCTGTGGAGAGCTGTGCCTCTGGGAGGTCCTGAATGACACCAGCCTGGGCTCCCTGTACCTTTGCTCTTGTTTCCTTCCTGGAATGCTCTCCTTGCTCCTCTACCTAATTCCTACTCATTCCTCAAAACCCTAAAACTCAGTTCCTCCTCCAGCTCCTAGGAATTTCTCTTTCCTCCTCTGGACTTCCACAGGGCTTTGTATTTAGTCTACAAATATTTATTGAGGGTACTGTGCTAGGCATTGGGAATACAGTCATAAATAAGACAGGTATATTCTAGTCAGGGAAATGGAAAACAAATAAGCAGATAGTGTCTTGGGTCCATTGGGGTTGCTCTAACAAAATACCATAAACTGGGTGGCTTATAAAGGACAGAAACGTATTTCTTACTGTTCTGGAGGCTGGGAAGTCCAAGGTCAAGGTGGATTCAGTGTCTGGTGAGGCCCTGATTTATTCCTGTAACCTCACAGGATGGAAGGGACAAACAAGCTCCCAGGGCCTATTTTAGAAAGACACTAATCCCATTCCTCAGGGATCTGCCCTCATGACCTCCCGAAGGCTCCACCTCCTAATTCCATCACCTTGGGGGGTAGGACTTTAGCATATAACATATTTTAACATATCTGTAGCAGACAGATAGGTGGATACCTAGCTAGCTAGGTTGGTAACAAATTGGTAGAAAATAGCTAGTTTGCAAAGACTTTGAAAGACACAACCGGAGAGTGTCCTAGGGGATGTATTACTTTGTATTGCCTGAATACTGAGGGGCCTCCTGAAGCTAATCAATCAGGCTGGGTTTGTAGAATTCCATTTGATGGGTGTTTAGGCTGCACTATGACACACATTCTTCCCATGCAAGTCACAAAGTTGTTAGAGGAATCAGAAGAAATTTTGCAGGCAGCACAATGCAAGTATATAGATGACGGGGTCAGGATGGTCTAGATTCACATCCTAGCTTAGGGACTTACAAATGCCATGATTTGGAATGAGTTCTTAAGTCTTTCTGGGGTTCAATTTCCTCATGTGTAAAATGGAGATGATAATATTTATACTCACCCTCAGAGAGTTGGGAGGATTAGAAATTCTATCTACCTAATTCTTTCTTTCTATCTATCTCTATGCATCCAAAATCTATCTATCTATCTATCTATCTATCTATCTATCTATCTATCTACACCTATCTATATAAAATCTATCTATCTATCTCTATCCATCCAAAATATATCTATCTATCCATCTATACCTATCTAAAATCTATCTATCTCCATCCAAAATCTATCTATCTATCTATCTATCTATCTATCTATCTATCTATCTATCTTCTCTATCTATCTAAAATCTATCAATTGATCTAAAATCTATCTGTATCTAAAATGTATCATCTATCTATATCTATCTAAAATCAATCAATCTCTCTCTCTCTCTCTCTCTCTCTCTCTCTCTCTATATATATATATATATAAAATCTATCTATTTCTTCTAGGTGATG
The DNA here is from genome assembly GCF_000001405.40 of Homo sapiens. Lineage (NCBI taxonomy): Eukaryota > Metazoa > Chordata > Mammalia > Primates > Hominidae > Homo > Homo sapiens. Next base: position 32,569,617 of record NC_000022.11, read on the forward strand.
GTTATTATTGCATGCATAAGAGTTTTAAAAATACGAAATACTCCACAAATGGAAGGTATGGCTTTGAGCATGGTTTGGGAGTCAGGCTTTACTACTTCCTAACTATGTGACCTTGGGACATTTCTTAACTTCTCTAAACCTTAATTTTCTCATCCGTAAAATGGGGTTTGTAATAGTACCTGCTTCACAGAGTTACTGTGAAGATTTAGAAGTAAACTGGCCCAATGATTTGAACAGTGCCAGGCACAAAGCAACGAATGTTAGCTGTTTGTCATTAACCGTAAGCACCTTTATCAAAAAGGTATCTAGAGATTTTGTAAAGTCCAGGATACATTAATAGCATTAAAGCTATTGTCCTCATTTTTCTGGCCCCGATGGCTTACGTTTTCTGGGCATGGACACCCCTCTCCCAGTCCTCTGAAAAGTGTTTTTAGTACGGGCCATGCTGAGGGTGTGTTAGGTGCCACAATGGCTGGACTTATCTTGCTCATGCATAGCTTCCGAGGTCGATTAAACATGGTATTTAACCAACCTCCCTCCACACACACTGCCTTCTAGGGAGGACTGGAAAGCCTGCTGACTGTCCTGCAGGACTTGGGAGGGGTTTGTCTATATCCAAAAGACAGACAGTGGAGGAGGATGCTGAGCGTGGGGTCCCGCCAGGGGATGGCTAGACTCCTTGTCTGTCTGGCTCCCTTGTGAAATACTGGGAAATTAAAGGCCATTGTAAACATTTCCCAAAAGCAGTAAAGATTTTTTTATGCAGATGGGGATGTGACTCACTTTACCAAAGTTAAAGGGTCTAGAGCGTTGTGCTGAGGTTAGGAAGAATTGGAGGTTTTTGTTTTCTGATTAAAACATTGAATTTTAATTTTGGAGTTGAAGCTGTGCATGTTTCTCTCCCAGGTAGATCTGGGAGTAGGGAAAGGGGGTGTAGTAGGGTCGGGGGAGGAGTCTCAGGAGGGAGGGAGAGGGTGGGGTGCTGAGAAGTGTGCTCTGAGTATGCCGCATTTAGCAACTCTACCCTTATAGAAAAAACAGCTTAGAATCTCAGTGTGAAGGGACGTGAGTTGGCATCTGGTCAACCCTCTCATTTTGCAGCTGAGGCACACAGGGAGGAGCAGGTAGCTTGGATAGGGTTACTTACCCATGAGCCAAAGACCAACACTGGCTTCAAGCCTGCTCAGCACTGGGATGCTGACTTCTCTCTACCAGTGACCCACAATGCGTGACACTGGTGGCCCACAGGATGATTTAGGGGGGACACAAATGAACATGGATAATTTTAACAGTTAGATATTTATTTCAAGGTGTATTAGGAAAAATTATCTGGCCCATAAAACTCATAATCTATGGTAGTGATACAAAACACCATTTAAAAATATATTTAAGCAGAGCAAGAGGGAATTGTGTGTGTGTGTGTTTCTAAAATGTTGGCTAAATAACAGAATGGGTGACCTGTAGGGTGTCCTAAATCATGACCACAGTCCACTCCATCTTTAGGGCTTTTGGTGCTACAGGAGGCAGTCTGAGGAAGGCCTTTCAGGCTCTCCTAGAGTTTTAAGTCTGAGAAGGAGCAAACTTCCCCAGAGCATCCCCCCTCCCCTTCTCATCCTCCTTTCTTCTCCATTTCTCTCCTCCTTTGACTTTGTCTTCTTCCTTTCCATCCCCAGTGCCCAGAACAACCAGTAGGCAGCGGGAGTGGCTGGCCCTGGGTTGCTCTGGGAGGTCAGGATCTGCCTCACTCTACCCATTCCAGGAGCTTGGATTTATGTGGCACCCTGGCCACCAGGGGCAAAGCCTCAGGCCTTTTGCTCATCCTATCTCCAGGCATGTTAAGCTCACTCCATCTATCATTTTGGCCAGGGCTTCCTAACCTGTGAAGCAACTCAGCCTAAGCTATTAATGGGTTATAGTGGATAAATATGTAACAAGCAACCTCCTCCCACAACCCTTGACCTATGGCGATGGTACCTTAATACACCTTCAAGTCCTTCTCCCAAAGTCATAATTAAAAAATAAAACCAAAAGACTATGAAAGGTGGCACTGTTTATGTGTGGGTTCTAGCTAGGGTTAAAATAAAATGAATGAAAGTTCTTCTCTGCCAGCCTTCCTAAGAACAGCAACTGCAGGGGACTGACTTCGAGAGTCTTATCTATTGAGTGTCTTCTAGAATCAAACCCTTCATGAAGGCATCAGCTTTGTTTTGTTCACCACTGCATCCTCAGTGCCCAGAACACTGCCTGGCACTGGGTAGGGGTTTAGTTGGTATTTGTTGAGTAAACTAATGAGAGTATCAGGCTGTGTGCTCGGTGTTGGCGCTCCAGTTGTGGTTTCTGCCCTTAAGGTCTAGCCCAGAAGAGGAAACTGCAGATGGTGAGATGGTGCAGTAAGATGGGGCTGTGCTAGGCCCAGAGCTCGCTCACAGGAGGGCATGAATCGCATCATGCTTGGGCAAGCAGAGGAGGCTTTAAGCGGGGAAGGTACTTAAGTTGGGTCTTGAAGTATGATTCTCAAGGGGAAGGTAGGCTATGACGTGATCTGAGGTGTATAAAGTACAGGTAGGTTTGGGAGAGCTTGGCTTAAAGAGGAGTTACCATTTCTGCCCCTGGAGTCAGATTCTGGCTCCTTCCTTCCTTTCCTTCCTTCCTTCCCCCCTCCCTCCCTCCCTCCTTCCTTCCTTCCCTCCCTTACTCCCTTCCCTTCCTTCCGTCCCTCCCTTCCTTCCTTCCTTCCCTTACTTCCCTTCCACCCTCCCTCCCATCTTTCCTTCCTTCCCTCCCTCCCTCCTGTCTTTCCTTCCTTCTTCCTTCCTTCCTTCCCTCCTTCCTTTCCTCCCTTCCTTCCTTCTTTCTCCTTCCCTCCCTTCCTTTTCTTCCTTCCTTCCTCCCTCCCTTTCTCTTTCCTCCCTTCCTTCTTTCTTTTTTCTCTCTCCTTCTCTTTCCTTCCTTCTCTTCTCTTCTCTCTCTCTTTTTTTCCTTCTGACACAGCATCTCACTTTGTCACCCAGGCTGGAGTACAATGGTGCAATGATAGCTCACCGCAGCCTTGACCCCCTGGGCTCAAGCAATCCTCCTGCCTCAGTCTCCCAAAGTGTCAGAATTATAGATGGGAGCCACTATATCTGGCTCTCTGGCCATTTCTGACAATACACCAGCCCCAGGACTTCAGCAACTCCAGCTCGTGTCTTCCACTCCTCTGTTCCCCATCTCACTCTCACTGGCCCTCCTTGGCTCCAGCCAAAGTTATCAGGGCCTTGCGTTGCCACTGCGGGTGTTTGTTTTCAGATGATAGCATTCGAGGGGGCTCGACTCAAGAACACCAACCATGGATAAGGGCTGGAAGCAATGGTGTCCCGGAGCTGGCTCAGACTTGCTTATAAGAGGTGATTGTTAAATATTTAGACATCTTGTCAGCCAGTTATTAGATCATTGTTAGGTTGAAATCATTTGTGGTGGAAATATTTATACCCCAGAAACTGGCAAACACAACATATTAGGGTTCCCCCCTGTTTTCCCCAGAGAGCCAGTTTGCCAGCACACCACTGGCTGGAAGACAGTTTATGACTGTTTTCAGTATTCCAGGTAAGGATATGACATGTTGCACAAATGGCTTGATTGTCATTTTGTTAAAATAAAATATTTAAAAGCTTGACTTTAAAGCATCCAAAAAGGACACTCAAATGTTCCACACACATGAGCTGCCTGGGTGACCTTTTCTGGTGCAATCCTCAGAATAAGGCCTCTCCTTCCATCTTGGTTTATTTGGAGATTGCAGAGAAAGCCGGTAAAATACTGGTGATTTTGTCAACACTATGCTATTCAAGGACACAAAATAGAAAGGGAAGTTGGGTGCTGAGGCTAATATAGGACTGAGTTCATCAAAAGGGCCTTATTGTTCTCTTGATGAACTCTATCATACATGTTGTAAATGAAAAGTTATTGAATAAAATTACAGCTAATCTAATGCTACTTTTATCCATGATTTCAAGTTTCCTGTAGGATTTCATGCAAAAGGAGAGTTTTGAGTGGCCCAGTTCACTCATGTTTTGAAAGAGGACACAGCAGCCCCCGAGAGGAAGTCACTCTGTTTTGGTGGTACAACTGGAAAGGAAAAGGAAAGGAAAACTCACAGGGGAAGGAAGGGGTTTTTTTTTTTTTTTTTTTTTGGGAGACAGAGTCTCGCTGTGTCGCCCAGGCTGGAGTGCAGTGGTGTGATCTCGGCTCACTGCATCCTCCGCCTCCCAGGTTCAAGTGATTCTCCTGCCTCAGCCTCCCGAGTAGCTGGGATTACGGGTGCCCGCTGCCACGCCCGGCTAATTTTTTTTTTTTTTTTATTTTAGTAGAGACGGGGTTTCACTATGTTGCCCAGACTGGTCTCGAACTCCTGAGCTCAGGCAATCCTCCCGCCTCGGCCCCTCAAAATGCTGGGATTACAGGCATGAGCCACTGAGCTTGGCTGGGGTTTTTTTATTTTTAAGTTAGGACTCTCATCTCCCTCTCAGGGCCCTTTCCTTGATGAGGAAAGAAGTGAAAGTGTCCAAATTTCATTATTTTGGCAGGAAATAAAACCACCATCGTGAGCCGGGTACAGTGGCTCACACCCACAATCCCAGCCACTCGGGAGGCTGAGCAGGAGGATCGCCTGAGGCCAGGAGTGTAAGATCACCCTGGACAACATAGTGAGACCCTGTCTCTAACAAAATAAAAAAAGTAGCCATGTTTGGTGGTGCACGCCAGTAGTCCCAGCTACTTGGGTGGCTGAGGTGGGAGGATGGCTTGAGCCTAGGAGTTTGAGGCTACAGTGAGCTATGATCACGTCACTGTACTCCAGCCTGGGCACCAGAGACAGACTCCATCTCTTTAAAAAAAATCACCATCGTGTTCGATGCCAACAGCACCTGAACACAACCCACGCTTGCTAGTGTTTCATAACATGCACCTACAGGGGCTAATGTGGTTTAGCCTTGCTGGTTTCTCTGACCTCATCTCCTACCACTTGCCCCCTCCCTCTCTCTTTTACTTCCTAGAACTCACCAAGCTCAGTGTTGCCTCAGGGACTTTGCCCTTGGTACTCCCTCTGCCTGCAAAGCTCTCGCTGCAGCCAGTCCCATAGCTAGGCAGCGCCTTCTCATGATCTGAATAGCTGATGGATCATCCCATCTAAAGCAGCCCATCTGTTACTCCCAGTCATATGCTATTGCATTACTCTGTTTTGTGTTTTTCCTCGCACTTAGCACTGTCTGAAATTATTTTGTATTAATAGTTTTCTATACCCTCCAAAATAATAAGCAAAATATGGGCTCTATGAGAGTAGGGACTTGGTCTTTTAAACTCGCAAATGTATTCCCTGCTCCTTGCACACTAGCAGGTGTTTAGGAACAATTTACTGAATGAATAAAGGGATGCTGACCCTGGTACCTAGGCCCTCTTTTGACCTAAGCGGGTGGTTTTCAAACTGAATTCTATGGAGGGAATGGCGCCATGCCGGGAGCCCGGCTGGGTGGGTCTCTAGATCTCTTTTCTTTTTTCATTCAGAACAGCTCCACTAGGATCTGTTTAATATACTAAGTGTTTTCATTGTTCATTGGACAAAGGGCTCAAAGTCAAAAGAGCAAAGCCAGGTCACTGTTGAGGAAGCATTGGGTGGAAGGTTGGACGCCACATCTTTGGAAGTCCTCTTTAACCCCAATACTTGTGATTCCATGAATGGGACACAAGTCGAGTCAGCTTTGATATTGAGATGCGGTGGCAAGAAGAGAAGGACCATGACAGACGTGTTCTGGCGAGGGAGTGGGTGGGGGTTCCCCAAGCATGGGGGTGGGGGTCTTCCAGAGGGCGGCAGCCTGGTTCTAAGTTCTTCCTGCAGCTGCCTCAGCTACCTGCCCCTGAGTCATGACCTGCGATGCACTGGCTGATGCTTTTAGCTGAGGCCACATTTGAGGATCCAGCATTTTCCGACCACAACTTTAAACATAATGTTTGCTCCTCCACTCACCAAGAGAGCAACGGTCTTGCTCTCTGCGGTCTCATTAAATAGGATTCTATTTTCACAGCACTCACTTTTAGGACATTCTTATTTGCTGTTCCAGGCTCTCGGAGAGGCAGCCCAAGAGGCGCTGCTGCTAAAATGACTCTGGGCACGGTAGAGATGGGGAGATACGGAAATGAATAGCAGCTTTGTTTATTTGGCATGGGACCAGGCAAGAGGAGCTATATTAAAAAATAAATAAAGTTCCCCTTCTTTCCTCAAGACAAAAAACAAAACAAAACAAACAAAAAAAAACAAACCTATTCCGGCTGCGTGGCCAACAACACAATTTCCCTCACAGAACAGAACAGATGTGAGTACATTGAGATTAACTTTGTAGGAAGAAATTTAAAAAAATAAAATAATGATGAGCGGTCGTGGGATAGGGCTGGTGAGGGGGTAATATCAAGAGTATTTGAGATGCCCTCATTAGGAAGCCGGAAATAAAATGAAGCAATGGCCTGAGTATGGTTCTATCGACATATAGACACTCTGAGGCACCCACATATCCACAGGGCTCCCAAGTATTCCTGATTCCCTCTCTCGCAGACCTGGCTTGAGGTCTTCCCACAGTGGGGAAGAGATAATAACTATTAATAGTATGGCCATTCTCTGAGCATTCACCATGTGCCAAGCTCTGTGCCGAGTATCCCGTGCACACCATAATGGATGTAATTCACCATTCTTCCCACTGGCTTCGCTTGTCTGAGCTTCAGTTTTCCCTTCTGTAAATGGGTTTAATCAGATTACCTACCCCAGAGAGCTGCTGTGACAACTGAGTAGGAAAACGCACATGAACTACGAAGCACAGGGCCTGGCACCTAGTATGCGGTCAATAAATACACGGTTTATGATGGTGACTATTTTCCGTAAGGTATTTCAAATTCAAAATGTTAAAACCTGAACCCATTCTCTTTCCCCTTCAAGCCATTTTTTCTTGATTGTACACTTCAGTAATGGAATCGTGATAATCTTGAGTTCTTTTCCCGCCTGGCACAGTCAGTTCCCAAATTCATTCAAGTCTGCCGTTTTTCATATCACTCGACTGCATCCTTATCTCATTCCTCACGGCCTTGCTTCCTGCCTGGGTACAAACCCTTATCATCTCTTCTCTGAACTGCCGCAGTTTCTTCCTAATGGGGCCCTAATCCCCCGCTTCCAACCCCCACCCCTCTCTTCTCTTCACACCACTGCCAGGACGCCTTTTTTCCCTTATGAATCTGACCATGCCTATTCTTTGCTTGAAACCCACCAGTGGGTCTCTCTCACCAAGAAGATAAAGCCTGTATTCTAGAGTGTAGCATGAAACACTCTCATGATCTGGCCCCAGTCTCACTTTCTCTTCCTGGCCTCACTCCAGCCCAGGGCTTGTCCACACTGGCTTCACATTAGCATCACCAGGGGATAATACAATGCCAGCATCTGGGCCTTACTCCAGTCAATCACATTAGAGTCCCTGGGATTAGGCCCTGGGCAGAAGTGGAATTTACAAGCTTCCCGGGTGCTTCGAATGCACTGCCAGGGTTAAGCATCGCTGCTTCCCCCCATTCTGAGCAGCTTGCTTGGGCCTTTATGCTTTTGTGTGTAGGTCCTGCTGTGTTGGACAGTTTGCTCTGCTTTTTCTACCTGCGATGTCTCCTTATCTTTGGAGACACAGCTGAAGTTTCCCACCTTTATGGAAGTCTTCCCTGGGACCCCCTCGAAGGGGCTCCTGTTGCCCATGACATTTCCTGCTATGACAATGTAATCATTTGCTTGCATGGCTAGATTCCTGCTAGAAAGGGACCCCCTTGGGAGGCCCAATGTCCATTCATCTTTGGATCCTCACACTGTTGTGGTTGTCTAAGTACAGCGTCTACACACACTTACATGTTTTTTTGATAAATGAAAATATCATTGGAGATTTGTCCTCCATCATGACTCTAACTGGATTCTCAGCTCTTGGCTTATATTTCTGCTTTAGAGTTTATTCATTCTGCCTTGATCACAGTACATTGTCTACATGATCTTCCTCCACCACCTGTCCTCACTCTGGGAGCTTATTTCCTACCACTTTTTACCTCAAGCACTCACTCCTGCTCCATTGGCCTCCTCCCTGTTCCTTGACCTCCCTGTTCCTGCCCCAGGGCCTTCGTCTGTGCTGTTCCTTCTGCTGTCATGCCCTTCCTCCACATGTCCACATGACTCACTCTCTCCTTCCTTTACATGGCACCTCACAGAAAGGCTTCTCTGATCACATTCGTCACACTCTGCCTCTTACTTGGTGTCTTTCTTTTTCAGAGCCCTTCTCATCTCCTGATATATGGAAGATTTATTTGTTTATTCTTTTCTTCATCTGCTTCCCTCCATAGCATGTAAGCTGCATGGGGCAGGGACTTGATTGTGTTTGATATTGCATCTCCAGTGCCTAGAATAGTGCCTGGCATGTACAAAGTGCCTGGATGCTATAAATACTTCTTCAATACACGAATGAATGAAGATGATTTGCTTTCTAGTAAGCCAGTATTTTCTTTCTTTCCTTTTCTTTTCTTTCTTTCTCTTTCTTTCTTTCTCTCTCTTTCTTTTTCTTTCTTTCTTTTCTTTCTTTCTTGCTTTCTCTCTCTCTCCCTCTCTCTTTCTGACAGGGTCTTACTCTGGGGCCTAGGCTGGAGTGCAGTGGCATGATCATGGCTCCCTGCAGCCTCAATCTCCCATATTCAGGTGATCCTCCCACCTCAGCCTCCCAGGTATCCAGGACAACAGGTGTGCACCACCACACCTGGCATTTTTTTATTTTTATTTTTAGTAAAGATGGGTTTTGCCATGTAGCCCAGGTTGGTCTTGAACTCCTGGACTCAAGCTATCCACCTGCCTCTGCCTCCCAAAGTGTTGGGATTACAGGCATGAGCCACTGACCCTAGTCAAGCCAATATTTTTCAAACTGTGAGTTTGAAATTGGTCATCAAATCAACTTAATGGATCACAACCAACATTTTAAAAAATAAAATACACTAGAACTGAAGATATCACAATTCCTTGAACATAGTAAGGGCAAGTATTATTCTGTAAAACTTATCTTGGTCAATATACAGTATCTAGCAATCAGGTGGCAAGACAAAATGTATTCCTCATTGGGGTTTATTGTACACATTTTTGGAAAAGCATTGTGTTAGGCCAGAGATTGGCAAACGTTTCCTGTAAAGAGTCCAGTGGTAAATATTTTAGGCTTTGTAGGACATAAAAACTATTGAACTCTGATTTTGTAGTGTGAAAGTAGCCACAGACATTATGTGCACAAATAAGCAGGGCCATGTTATAATAAAACTTTATTAACAAAATCAGGTTGTGGGGCTAGATTTGGCCTGTGGGTGGTAGTTTGCCAAGCCCTGCGCTAGACTGTTGTCTAGCCTGTGACTATGTTTCATATGTGTAAATTCCCTTTATACAGGAGCTATGTCTTTTTCATCTCTGAATCTTAACCATGAGTGTGTCATCCCAGCATCTAACCCATTGATTAAATATAACAAATGTTCATGAAATGTTTGCCAATATATTCAATGAACATTTATTGACTCCTTAACTCCAAACAGCTTGGCACCAAATCCATCAGTATTTGTTGAATGAATGTAAGAGCCATGTCTTAGTCTGTCTGGGCTGCCATAACAAAATATCTTAGACTGGATAATTCAGAAATTTATTGCTGACAGCTCTGCAGGCTGGGAAGTCCAAGATCTAGGTGTCAGCAGATCAGTGTCTGATGAGGGCTTTATAGATGGTGACTTTTGCTGCATTCTCACACAGCGGAAGGGGCAAGGGAGCTCCCTCACACCTCCTACGTAAGGGCACTGATCCTATTCACGTGGGCAGAGTCCTCATGACTTAATCACTTCCCAGAGGAACCACCTCTTAATACTATCACATTGGGTATTAGGTTCCAACATATGAACCTAATAATATGTTTAGGAAGACACCAACATTCAGACCATGGCAAGCCATTAGTCTCAAATTCTCAAAAGCCTTTGCCCCTCCTCCAACCCTTCTGAAGATCAGGACTCAGAGCTCAAAGGTGTCCTTGCCCCAGCCGCTTGGGTCACTTGCTGCCAGGGGCCAGAAGGGGTGGTGGGAAGGTGATGGGAACAACAGGGTTTGATGGACTGTTTGGGGAACTGTCTAATTATCCTGCTTATCAGTGCTGGTTCCTTTTCTTAGCTCTTTCCCTTAATAAATGAAAACTCCTTCTGTTGTTATTGAGCTCCCGGGTCACTGATTCTTTTGAGTCATATAAACCACATGTTTATAGAGTTACAGTGTGACCGTGAAATTGAATGGAGGGGAAGGGAGGCACCAGAGAAGTGTCAGCCTTGAAAGGCAACACTTTCTCTTCCCAGGCTTCTGCTCATTGTGTAGGGCAAAGGACAGGGCTTTCCGCTGTCCAGGGCCCTGGCCTAGGCGGGGAGGGGAGCTGAGGTCACTGGGTACAGCTTGTGCGTCCACAGAGCTTACAGCCTGGTTGGGGAGGGAGATGGCCAGGCTCAGAGTTGAAGATGACCTAGATCATGCGTCAACAAACTATGGCCTGAGGGCCAAAGCCAGCGCACCACCCGTTTTTGTACAGCCCATGGGTTAAGAAGAGTTTTCAAAATTTTAAACAGCAGTCTCCCCTTATCCATGGTTTCACCTTCTGTGGTTTCAGTTACTTGCAGTCAACCATGGCCCAAAAATAGGTGAGTACTATACAGCAGGACATATTGAGAGGGAGAGACCACATTCACATGACTTCTGTGACAGTAGATTGCTATAATTGTCTGATTTTATTATTATTTATTATTATTTCTCTCTTACTGTGCCTAAATTTATAAATTAAACTATATCACAGTTGTGTATGTATAGGAAAACCCAGTAAATGTAGGGTTTGGTACTGTTCATGGTTTCAGGCTTCCACCGGGAGTCTTGGAATGTATCCTTTGCCAATAAGGGGGAGCTACTGTAGTCGGGAAAAAAAATCAAAGAACAATATTATTCGAAGTGGGAACATGATATGAAATTCAAATTTCAGTGTCCATGAGTAGAGTTCCAGTGGAAGATAGCACTGCCCATTCATTTACGTATTGTCTGTGGTTGCTTTCCCACTACAAGAGCTGACTGAGTAGCTTCAGCAGAGACCATGTGCCCTGCAAAGCCTCAAATAGGTAGCATCTGGCTCTGTGCAGAAAACTTTGATGACCCTTGCCTAGATCATGGTCTAGCAGCATTGATATCACCTGGGAGCTTGTTAGAAATTCAGAACCCCAGGCAGGCGGGACTGCAGATCTAGTGAATGAGAGCCTGCATTTTAACAAGATCCCCTGGGTGATCTGTGTGCACAGTCAGGCGCTAGAGGAAGCAAATCAACATCTCTTAAGTATCTACAATTTTTTAAGAGTGCGTTACCTCAATCAGTCTTTAGGTTAATCCCTTTTCCACTAGGGACATTTACTGGCCCTGTTTTGTTTTTATTTTTTGAGACTGAGTCTCGCTCTGCCACTCAGGCTGGAGTGCAGTGGTGCAATCTCGGCTCACTGCAACCTCTGCCTCCCAGGTTCAAATAATTCTTGTGCTTCAGCTTCCTGAGCAGCTGAGACTACAGGCGCCCACCACCACGCCCAGCTAATTTTTATGTTTTTAGCAGAGACGGGTTTCGCCATGTTGGCCAGGCTGGTCTCGAACTCCTGACCTCAGGTGATCGGCCCGCCTTGGCATCCCAAAGTGCTGGGATTATAGTAGGCATGAGCCGTAGCTCCCGGCCAACTGGGGCTATTTTACAGGTGAGAAAAACAAAGATCGCACGTCAAGTGCTCGCCCAAGGTTATATAATTAGGAATTGGCTGAGTCAGATTTAAACTCTTAGGTCCTTTGTACATCCTGTGGCCTTAACCATTAAGCTCAATGGTCCCCTATACAGAGAGGGTAAGGCCAAATTCAGTGTCTTCTGTCTGAAGCTGGAGGCACTAAACTGGCTCCCTAAGATACCCTAAGTGGGTGGCTGTTTTATTTGACGTATACAGTGTTTCAAAAGATTTTTAAATTAGTTGCCAATATTTAAAAATAAGGAGTCTGGATATTGGAGACCCCAGATAATTGATTCTTTTTTTCTTTTTCTTTTTCTTTTCTTTTCTTTCTTTCTTTCTTTTTTTTTTTTTTTTTTTTTTGAGACAGAGTCTCACTCTGTGGCCCAGGTTGGAGTGCGGTGGTGTGATGACAGCTCACTGCAACCTCCGCTTCCTGAAGAATTGAAGCAATTCTTCTGCCTTGGTCTCCCAAGTAGCTGGGACTACAGGCGTGCACCACCAAACCCGGATAATTTTTATATTTTTAGTAGAGATGGGTTTTCACCATGTTGGCCAGGCTGGTCTTGAACTCCTGACCTTGTGATCCACCCATCTCGGCCTCCCAAAATGCTGGGATTATAGGCGTGAGCTACCACACCCGGCCTGAGAATTGATTGTTATAAAAGAATCTGGAAATCAGGCTTCCCTGGCTGGGGCTAAGTTGTGACTTCTCTTGCAGGATGGCCTCGAACTCCCAGCCTGGGCTTCTGACTCATGGTAATGCCTGGTCCCTTGGGCATCTGAGTTTGCATCCCTTGGTCAAAACCAGTGGTTATGCAGAACAGCCTGCAAATCACCTGTGCATTTTGTTAAAATGTAGATTCAGAGTTGGCAGGTCTGGAAACAGGTCTGCATTCTCCCTTTTTTTTTTTTTGAGACCGGGTCTCACTCTGTTGCCCAGGCTGGAGTGCAGTGGTGTGATCACAGCTCACTGCAGCCTCGACTTCCCAGGCTCTAGTGATCCCCCTACCTCAGCCTCCCAAGTAGCTGGGACCACAGGCACATGCTACCACAACCAGCTAATTTTTATTTATTTATTTATTTAATTTTTGTAGAGACGGGCTGGGGGTGGGGGTGGGTCTCACCATGCTGCTTAGGTTGGTCTTGAACTCCTAGACTCAAGTGATTCTCCCATCTCAGCCTCCTGAAAACTTCTGGGATTACAGGTGTGAGCCACTGTGCCCAGCCTATGTTCTGCATTTTTAAGGGGCTCCCAGGTGATACGGATGCTGCCAGTACTTCCATAGGGCACACTGAGCAGCAAGGCTACCGAAGAGCTCAGGACCGTCTGACTTCAGGGCCCATTGCCCAGATCATCTGAATCGGTGCCCTTGGCTGCTGATCCATTATCTGTTAGAGTGGCCAGGGGCCTCTAGGTCCTTCTCTTCAGCTGTTAGCAGCCTCCTCCATCGACCTGCTGAGTTGTATAGCTACCACTCTTTTCTAGGAGTGTCATGACGTGAACAAGGCTGAGCAGCATTCACTGGCCCATCACAGTGCCTCCTTTGTCTTCCAGCTTCACCCCTGGAGGACAGAGCTATTGGTATGGAGGTCTCCTGGGGGTGAAGACCAAGAGTCAAGCAAGAGATCAGGGTCTGCCGCTAGTGTCCTATTGATCTGGAGGCTTAATGGAGGCAGATGTTTGTATTTTAGAAAGCTGCTTCCCCTACCCCCAACACATGGACAGACACACACCCCAAAATGTAACAAACCCATTGTCTGCATCATCTGTGGTCTTCCTGGAAAACAAGCCTGCCATGGCCACCTGTCGGCAGTGATGCCAACTGCTCCCCGGTACAGCTATTTCCAAGATTCCAGAGATGTGGCTGGTTTCACTTCCAGGAAGCTTGCTGGAAGACTGCCCTGTGCCCCACGCCTCAGTAGGGCAGGGGGCCTCCCCTGGTTTTAGGATCATGCTTCTCCTGCCTGCTGATGGTAAGAATGGGCTGTGCCTGAGCGTTTTGGCTAGAGAAGCCCTCAGCAGACATATAGGCTGTGTTCCAAAAGGCCTGGCAGAACTCTCTGGAGTCTTACCTCCCCTGGCATGGATGCCAGAATCAGTGGGAAGAACGTGTGCGTGTGATATGCAGCCCTGTGCAAATCATTTCTCCTCTTTGATCTCTGCTTATCTCATCTGTAAAATGAGTATCATTGAAACGGTCCTCACAGGGATAACAAAAATTACATCCTGGGTCCTGTGCAGAAATATAGTTCTATTAAGCACTAATCAGGCCACACTTTGGCCCACTTCCTTGTAACTGAGAGTCAGGTAGCACTAGATACTGACCATCTGCATCCTCATTGTTCCTATACCTAGGATTTCTAACCTTAGAATCATAGGTTTTTGTTTACGAATTGATTTATATCCCCATTGTTCCTATAGCTACGATCAGTGACCATGGACTCATAAGGCTTTTGTTTAAGAATTGCCTAAGATGTTCTTCAGATCCTGAATTCCAGCAGGAAAGCTAATGCCAACCAGTTTGAAAACAACCACAGAGGAATCGAATCAGCACGAGAATGCAGTTTCTTCATTTCCCTGTCCCATGACTTTACTCTGCACTCTTTGACCAATCAATAATCCTGGACCTTGGCCCACTTCAAACCCCTTGAAATCTCTAGCTCCAACTCCCTGGAGGGGTGGATTTGAGGTTTCCTCCTGTTTCCTTGTTTGGCTGCCGTATGATTATTAAACTCTTTCTTTGCTGCAATCCCTGTTGCCTTGGTTTATTGACTTACTGTGCATCGGGCAAACAAACCTATTATGATGACATCATGACGCAATATCCACCTCAAAGGACTGCTGGGAGCCTCAAAAATTTACAAATTTGTGAATTGTATGTGACTGTCTGATGCCGGGGAGCAGCAAGGAGCTTTTGGTGATTGGAGTGCGGTAAATTATAATGTTCCCCACCCCACCGGGTGATGTGTGCCCCACTTCTGTCTGAGGGTCTCTTAAGGGGAAGAATTCTCTGGCCTTTGTTAGATGCAGTGTCAGGATGGCTCAACAGACATGACCAGGAAAACAGAGAAAAGAAAAAAGGAAATCTTATTGCTTTTCAATGTCTGTCAGTTAAAAAAAATTGATATTCTTTGTTTTTCATGGAGGGGTCCTCTGCATCAGTGCTCATAAGAACAGACAATTTATTTCTTCCAAATGAGTCTGTTCCTGGGCCTCTGTCCCTCTTGACAAAATGGGGCTTATAGATGGTGTACACTGTCTTTAAAACACAGTGCCAGAGGGTGGTATTCTTTCTTTCTTTTTGTTTAAATCATTCTTTTGAAATGAATGTTCTTGGTTTTGGCTTCAGGCCTGGTGTGAGATCAGTTGACCAAAACACAAGAGCAGTTCATATGCAAAAGGTCAGTGCTGGTCTCAAAGGTACTGACATGTTTCTTGGGTGGGGCCTTGTGAAATTCTTTATAAATAAACTCTCTAATTAAGTTGGCTCCTTGCCTTGTACTGGGAAGAGATGATTACACCAGGGTGTTCCTGAGGGTCCCTGGCAGCAAGCAGAACAGGGCTGTCAATCTCAGTCCAAATTCTGCTTCACCACTTACCTGTGACCTTGGGCAGAATGACTCTTGGCACCTCTATAAAACAGGGATCAGAAATACCTCTGAAATACCTCTGAAGGTTAGAGGAGATGCACAAGGCACTCATCGTGGTGTACGGGCACTTGGGAATTGTTACTATCCTCCTTCTCTTTCCTTATTCATCCATGTAATCTGCTCTGAGCTATCCCAGAGAAGCAGAGGCCCAGGGAAGTTAAGAAATTTGCTGAAGGTCACAATGCTGGCAAACAGTTGAGCCAAGCTCAGAACCCCAGCATCAGTTGGTTTTCCCCAGCGCCAGTCTAAGCCCAAAGCCCATACTCTCTTTTGCTTATCTCCCCATCTCCTATTTCTATGAAGCTTTAGACTTTCTAATGCACTTTTATTCACTAGCTCTCCCAAGTGATTGGGTGAGGAAAATCATGAAATAAGGGAAAATTGCATTTACAGGTTTAAGTGACTGGCACTGGTGGTTACTGCTGGCCCCAGGGAGTGTGAGGCTAGCAGGATGACCCAGATTTCCCAAACCAGGCCAGGGCTCTTTCCAGTGAACCAAGGATGATGTGAAGATGCAGGAGGTGGCAGAGGAAGATCTCAGGTAGAGGTCTTAGCTTTAAGTTCTTGTAAGAAAAATGACTTCATGATCTAGATGGTCCTGCCTTCAACAGGTGAACATTGGGTTACACAGAGAAGCAGGATGACTGTTTCAGTTAGCTCTGCTTACGCCTAGAATCACAGCATTTTAGCTTTCAAAGGCAGGAAGCAAATTTAAGGACTCTTTACAAGATGGGCATGTGTGTCTTTTATATGTATATATACGTATATAGACATATATACGTATATATACGTATATATGTGTATGTATACATATATGTGTATATACGTATATGTGTATGTATACATATATGTGTATATACGTATATATGTATATATGTATGTATACGTATATATGTATGTATGTATACGTATATATGTATGTATGTATATATGTATATGTATATATGTGTATATGTATATATGTATACATGTATACATGTATATATGTATATATGTATACATGTATATGTATATATGTATATGTATGTATATACATATACACATATACACACAAACACATGCACACACATGCAAATATACACATGCAGTTGATTCTCATTATTAATGCTAGTTATGCCTTATAAAGTTGCAGTGAACACTGAATAAGTGAATACTGACCCATTGCTCCTAGGAGAAATACAGAGTTAAGTTCCTTTAAGCCTCTGGTCACAATATTTTCATCCAGTGATTAATATATAAACTTGTGTTATGTGTGTTTCTGCTGAAAGACATTTTAATATATATTGTTGATTCATTGACATTAAACTCAATGCCAATGGTACTGTATAACTCATGCCTAAATGAAACTTATCTAACACATCTATTTTTTTCCATAAAGAATATCACTTAGGAAGACTAGACAGCACTTCAGCACTACACTTCGAGGGCATTTTAAACAGTGAAATCATCAACAAAAAGCACAAAAATGCATAAGTGTGGCACCAAATAGACTGCAAGAAGGACACTTGTTTACGGTTTGAGAGCTGAAACCAGGAGACAGAGTGTTATCTTATTTGACTCAAATTTTTCACCACTCTGAGCAGGTCCGTGAATGGCCACAAAACTGCTGCGAGATTTCATTTTGGGGCTACAAAGGAATTTTTGCAAGTAGATGAATTGGCAAACATGGAGTCTGTGAATGATGAGGATGGACTGTGTATGTTGCATTTGTGGAGAGGACAACTTCATTGCAGAGGATGTGTAAAGGGAGCACAGTGCCTAAAGTCTTCATTAAGGTGTAGGGGACTGATGTATCCCCTCCCGAGGGCCCACTGTGCTCAAGAGAAGCAGAGAATACGCCGGGAGCGGTGGCTCACGCCTGTAATCCCAGCACTTTGGGAGGCTGAGGCAGGTGGATCACGAGGTCAGGAGATTAAGACCATTCTGGCCAACATGGTGAAACCCCATCTCTACTAAAAATACAAAAATTAGCTGGGCATGGTGGCCTGCGTCTGTAGTCCCAGCTACTCAGGAGGCTGAGGCAGGAGAATCGCTTGAACCTGGGAGGCAGAGGTTGCAGTGAGCCGAGATCACACCACTGCACTCCAGCCTGGGTGACAGAGCAAAGCTCTTATCTCAAAAAAAAAAAAAAAAAAAAAGAGAGAGAGAAGCAGAGAATAAAGGAGGCCAGTGGCCATCAAAAGGGAGTGGCAGGTAGGTGAGAGAGGACATAGGGAGGGAGGTGGGATTGAGAGGGAGGGCAGTGGGTGTTGGGGGGGAGGGTCCCTCACGGTTTAGCTGGGTCCCAGAACTCCCTCCCCCTGAACACCTCGTGGGTGGGTGCCTCTTCTCTGCTCACTTTTGGCTGGACTTCTGCTGATCTGTGAAACACAGAGAGACTCTCCTCTCTGGCTGTCTCCCAGTTGCGGGGAACCTTTTGATTTCTTAACTATTCCCCTGGGATCCATTCCTCTATTTGCTCATTTTCTAATACTCCCTCTTCATCACCGTGTTACTGGGCCACTGACTCCCACTCCAAAGGCCGACCAGGCCCGGAAAGCTCATAAAGTGAGTCAGCCTAAGAGAAGGGATCCGAGTCCAGGTCACTTGGAGCTGATGACGGCAGCGAACCTGGCTAAGCCAGCGTGTGCAAGATGCTGGCGCTGCTGGAAACATCGCCTGGAGGAGCGGCCCTCTCATCACCCGGAACAGACAGGGGTGTCTGCAGAGGTTTCCCAACCTGTCATCATTACTCTAGGGTCTTCTTAGAAGGACAACAAACCCTGTACCTGCATGGCGGAGTGTTAGGATATCTGGTACCATGTCACTCCCCTGAGCTCAGCCAGACTGCCTGAGGGTTGTGCCCCACTCCACCATTTACTGCTTGTGCCTCAGTTTCCTGATCTGTAAAATGGAAGTTCTAATAGTATCCACCTCATAGGGTTGTTATGAGGACTGCACTACATATATACATATAGCACTGAGAACAGTGCCTGCACAGAGTAAGCTCTACAGAACACTGGCTTTTATTATTGTGATTATTATTGCTCGTATTATTACTACTCTTCTCATCTCTAAAGAATGGAATGGGGCTGAACGATTTCAAAGGCCTTTCTTTCCCTTCCTGTTCTGTTACTGGAGATGCTCCCTTGCTGTGTGGCCTTGGGCAAGGCCCTTGTCCTCTCTGGGCCGCAAGTTCTTATCTTCTAAGTGAGGTGCTGGGAGTCAAGCCCTGAGAGCCTGAATCTATGAAATAAGGATAAGATGACTCCTAGAGTGGGGTTCATTTGTGACTGCAGCCTCTCCTGGGGATGCTGAATTTCCTTATTTTAAGAATTTACTCAGAATTTAATCCAATTCCTCTCCCCTTTTTGTCTATTGTAACTGCTTATTTCATCTCAGCTGAGATAAATGGTTAAGTAATCAACATAACAGGGTATATTTGTAGTGTGTTTTTAAAGCTCCCATTCACTGAACCAACCACCTTCCTAAGCCTGGATTAATTTATTCTATCATCATTACAACCCTGGGAGGGAGATTATTGTCCCTGTGTTAGAGATGAGGAAATTGAAGCACAGAGAAAAGTTAAGCAACTTGCCCAAGGACACACAAACAGTAAATAGTAAATCCAGATTTAAACCAGGAACCTTGACTCCAGATTCTGTAAGCTTTACCCTGACACTATACCAGCGGTTGGCCTTGAGCTTAATTTCTAATTCTACGATGGAAACGCTGAGGTGGGAGGCAGGTCTTTACTCCAGACCAGACTGATGACTGGCTGAACCAGGGAAGAGGCAAAAGCACCTCTCCATAAGACATGCTCACCAGTACATGCCAGTTTACCCTTGCCAGTAACTCAGAAGTTACTGCCTCTTTCCATGGCATTGACAGATCCACCCCTTTTCTAGAAATTTCTGAATAGCCCGCCTCTTAATTTGCATGTAATTAAAATGGGTATAAATATGACTGAAACACTGCCCCGAGCTCCTATTCTCAACACACTGCCTGTGGGGTAGCCCTGCTCTGCAGGAGGAGTCACGGAGCTGTAACACTGCTGACTCAATAAAGCTGTTTTCTCCTACCACTGGTTTGCTCTCTTGCTCTTGAATTCTTTCCCGAACAAAGCCAAGAACCTTCCCAGGCTAAGTCCCAGTTGTGGGGCTTGCCTGCTCTGCATCAACATGATATTGAGCAATTCCTTCCAATGGACTGCTCATAACATTGGTTAATACCACAGAATCTCATCATTGGAGGATAATGTAAGGGTCACCTCCATGGTGTCTTAATTGGGCTGGTCAGGCGACTAATGAGAAGCTGAAGGAAGTTATGGACCCCTTTCCCCCAAAATGCTCATGTCACATCCACACATAAACACACATGCAAGTTTGTCTCTATTTCAGGGGGTGCAAATATCTCAGGCTAAGAACCTCACATAATACTTAATCTCTTGAAACTCTCAATAAGTTTCCTAACTCTCTCATCTTTGCTCCAACTGTCCAGTGATGAGAACCTCTTACCTAAGGGGGCAGTCCAGTAAGATGTGCCTCTGATTGTTAGAAAGTTGCTCTTTCCACAGGACTGATAACACTGATTGGGTCCCAACTATGCCCACTAGATGTTATGTAGAATCGGTCTAATCTATCTTCCCATGATAATCCTCCATGTTTCTGAAGATGTTGTTGGTCACACTCTCTCTAGTTCTTCTGGGGTATATGCCTCATCCATCCACTACTTGGTTCATTCTTCCATACATTAATTTGTCACTATCCCTTTCAAACACCCAAAATTGGTGCAGCCCAGAACACCAGAATCTTCTGGCTGTGGACTGGCTAGCTAGGTGCAGGGCTCTTGTTTTTGTTCTGGGTATCATCTTTCCATTCATAGATCCTAAGAGTGAATTACATTTTTAAAATCTTATTTTGAAATATAGCACAACTATGAAGAAGGGCAAAAACAAAAAACAACAACTCAATGAACTATCACAAAGCAAATACCCACATAACCACCCCCTAAATCAAGAACTAGAACTTTGCCCACTTCTGCCTCATCTCCATGACTATCCCTTCCGTCCTCTCCGAAGATAACTTCTATTCTGACTTTTATGGTGATAATCTCTTGCTTTTCTTAGAAGTTCTATCACCTAAATATGTATATGAGTTAATGCTATAGTTAAGTTTTCCTGGTTTTTAAATTTTATATAAATGGAACTATAGAAATAGGCAATCTTTTGTTTCTGACTTATTTCACTAAATGGTGTGTTTGTGAGATTCATTCAAGTTGCTATATGTAGTTGTAGTTCATTAATTTTTATTGCTGAAAATATTCCATTTATATGAATATACTACAATTGATTTATCTATTCTATTAAATGGACATATGAATTTCCAGCAATTATAAACAAATCTAGCATAATCATGTGCTTTGGTCACACATGCATGTATTTAGGTCAGGTATACCTAAAATAACTCCTGTGCGATCAGCTTAGTAGACAATATCAAGCTATATTCCGAAGTGGTTGTACAAATTTATGCTTTTACAAAAAATATGTACTTTCTGTGTGTCTGTTCCAACTGTTCCATGTTCTCACCAACACTTAGCATTATTAATCTTTTTAATTTTGGCTATTCTCGTGGCTATAAAGTAGCAACTCATTGTGGTTTCAATTTGCATTTCCCTGATGACTAATAAAGTTGAGCCTATTTTCATCTATTTATTTGGCATTTGTTGATTAGAGCTTTTGGCAACCCAGTCCTCATCTGAGTCATACTAAACTTGTAGCCAAGTGAAATAAATTATGTGACATATGATGCTATTTAATCATATCTCCCCTACTGACTTAGGTTGGATTTTGGGTGCCCAGAACAGGTCTGAACATTCTTAATAATGACGGGCCATATTTCTGGTGTGCCCACTTGTTTCAGGCACTGAGCTATGTGCTTGACATATATAATGTCTCTTAATCCTCACAACCAGCTTACGAAGCTCATACAATTATTACTATGTTCATTTTACATGAGAAGAAACTAAAGTGGACGAGGCAACTTATCTAAGGTCTCACAACTATTAGGTGGTGTGACCTAGATTCAAATAAACACCCTTAGCCACCGTAATAACAATCTGCTTCCAAAGACGGAGACATATGGCTGCATTTAAAAAAAAAAACTTAAAAATTGCTAAAAACTGAATAATAAGGCAAACATGTCATTGTCAAAAGGAGAAAATAGTTCCAAAGTATGACAAAGCATTAATGGTTTTCGAATGTGAGATGTTCTTACAAATTAATAAAAGGACAACCATCTCAATAGAAAATGGCAAAAGTTTTCTGGGGTTAGATAAATCTGGGAATTTCTACTTACTTTTCCGTTCTTGTACCCCAACAATGTATATGACCAAATTTATGACTCTAAGAAGTTCTGCGCTAAAAGCTTACTTTAATGCAGAGTTTTCCAAACCTATATGACAAAAATAGATTTTGGCATCCTGAGTAATTACAATTCTTCAGAACATGCTTTGAAACATGTTGAACTCTATTATCACCACGGCTTCCTCTGGTTTCTAGTCTGGTAAAATCTCCAAAAAAGGAAATGAAGTTAGTTTTGTGCAATGTTTCTCAACCTTGATACTCCAGTAGTCCCTTCTTATCTGTGGTTTTGGTTACCCACGGTCAACTGCGGTCCAGATACATTAAATGGAAAATTCCAGAAATAAACAATTCCTAGGTTTTGAAGTGCACACCATCCTGAGTAGCGTGATGAAATCTTGCACCACCCAGCTCCATTCTGCCCAGGACGTGAATCATCACTGCGTCCAGCACGTCCATGCTGTATATGCCACCCACCCGTTAGCCACTTAGGAGCCATCTCAGTTACTGGATCCATTATCACGGAATGTTCAAGTAAGTGTTATTCTACTTCATAGTGGCCCCCAAAGTTCAAGGGCACTGTGCCTAATTTATAAATTAAACTTTATCATAGGTATGTAGAGGAATAATGATTCAGAACTATCAGTGGTTTCAGGAATCCACTGGGGGTCTTGGAATGTATCCCCAGCAGACAAGTGGGATCGACTGTATTGACATTTTGGGGCAGTACAATTTTTTGTCGTGGGAAGCTGTCTTATGTACTGTGGATGTCTAGCAGCATCCCTGGCTTCTACCTGGTAAATATCAGTACTACCCCCTCACTGTCCCCAGGTTATAACAAATAAAATTGCCTCCAGACACATCCAAATGCCTCCTGCCCGGGGGCAGATCATTTTCCTCCCAACCACTTGTCTAACCTGACTGACTTCTAACGAACTTATGGTATCCCCATGAATACGGACCACTGTCTAAGCACTCCCAAAATGGCACAGAGTTTCACCATATTTTGATTTCTGTTTCTCATGATGTCCACTATTTTTTTGTTTTAATACAAGGGGGTAATTGTTCCATCTCTTGTCTTCTAGTCTTTTTTATTTTTTAGGATTTCTTAAATCTCCAGGCACACCCAATCACATGCAGTTCCCCTGATGCCAGGTTTCCTCTTACTAGTTGAATTTTCTCCTTTCCTGGGCATGCTCTTAATCACCAGTGCCAACAAAGGCCATGCACTTTTCTTTCTAAATCAAGCCTCAATTCTCCTAGGATGCCTTTTCCAACTAGGTAGAATTAAGTTCTTTTCTCTAAGCCTCATACCCTCTGCACAGCCTTCTACCAGGCCCCCAACAACACATTATGCATATTTACACGACTATCTCTCCAATTCCTTGAGGACAGGGACTGGGTCCTATTGATTTTCCAATTCTCAGCATAGAGTAGGCACCACAAGTATAAAAGAACAAAGGAGTGAAGTATAATTTGGGATAGGCCAGCAATTGCATCCATGGGGGCCTGGGTAGATTTCAAGCAACACTGAGCTCATTGACAGCCTCCTTACCAGCTTTCTTCTAGGAACGTTCTCTTTGCTTGTCTCCAGGAGGACAATCTTCACTCCCAAGAGAAGGTAAACGTACCACAGGTACCAGCTTTGTTTTTCTCTCTCTCAGCTATGAATATGACATCCTTTGCTTCATCAACTTGGTCGAGACTGTTACTGCAAGTTTTCTCATTCCAAACATAAGGAGAAAAGTCCTTTTCCCTTGATCTCAGCATTTTTGCAAACCTCAGTTTATTCTCGTCTGTGTCATTTTTTTTTTTTTTAATCCTTGGAGTGCACCCTCCTTTCCATGTTTTGGGAGGCCCTTCTGGACCTGAGTTTCTCATCTCTTTATTTCCTTTTTATGTCCTGTTGGGGATTATTTTAAGCTTTAAGCACAGAGTTTAATTCTTGGGAATGCTTTGACTTTACCAGAGCTGTCCAAGATAGTGGAAATGGGTGGAGAGAAAGATACAGGTCAGAGAAACATTAACAAGGGGCAATTGACAAGACTTGGAGACCATTTGGACATGGAGGAGGGGGAGATGACTCCCAGGTTTCTGTTTTGAGGCAACTAAATGACTGGTGGTTCCTGCTGCAGAGATGGAGGTCACAGGAGGAAGCAGAGGAGGAGGAGAAGGAGGGAGGTGAGGGTGTCTGGGAAGATGCTGAGCCTGGTCTGGGATGTTTAGGCTCTGAGGTTTCCATGGGAGACAAAGTAGAGATGTAGAGGACATAACTGGATATAAGAGCCTGATGCTCTGGGAAGGAAAAAGGTGACTCGGGAGTCTGTTGGCATGCAGATGGCAGCTGAAGCTGAGGTAGCTGACAAGAGCACTCAGGGATCGTGTGCAGATGGAATAGCCACGGTTAGGGATGATGCAGGAAGAAAAGTTCTTGAAGGAGAACAAGAAGGAGTGGCAAGAGACAGAGAGGAGGAAAGCCAGGAGAGAAGCATGCACCAGAGGCCACTATAAGGAGAGTTTGGGACAGAAGGATGGCCAGCCACTGTAAATGATAGAGAGAGGTGGATTCCAATAAGGACAGAAAAGTGCCTGCTGAATTAGCAACAGACGATCATTGGAGACCACTGAGAGGACAGCTTTAGTGGAGTGGAGGGGGCTGGAGCCATATGCAAGGATGGAAGAGGCAGTGGGAGACAAGGGAATTGGGGGGCAGACATAGGATGATGGTTAAAGAGGGGTTCGTTCATTCATCCACCCAAGCAAGAAGTGGGGCAGGGGGCCTCCTGTGTACCGGGTGCCACTCAGGGCTCTGGGATACAGCAGTGGAAAACCAGGCAGAACTTCCTGCCCTCAAGGTGTGTACTTTCTAGAGAGATATACTCTGAAGGGAGGACTCTTTTTAAAAGATAGTTATTAGAATTATCATTTGACTGATGAGGAAACCAAGAGAAGTTAGATGGTAACTCACCCAAGTTTATGAAGATGTCCAAGCTATGGGTCATGCCCTGATCTGCCTGACCCATTCCTTTTGTTTTGATTTTTCTTTTCTTTTTTTTTTTTGGACTGAATTTCACTCTTGTTGCCCAGGCTGGAGTGCAATGGCGTGATCTCGGCTAACCGCAACCTCCACCTCCCAGGTTCCAGCGATTCTCCTGCCGCAGCTTTCCAAGTAGCTGGAATTACAGGCATGCGCAACCACGCCTGGCTAATTTTTGTATTTTTAGTAGAGACGG
Organism: Homo sapiens; assembly: GCF_000001405.40. Classification (NCBI taxonomy): domain Eukaryota; kingdom Metazoa; phylum Chordata; class Mammalia; order Primates; family Hominidae; genus Homo; species Homo sapiens. The sequence goes on from NC_000022.11 coordinate 32,594,679, forward strand.
GGTTTCTCCAGGTTGGTCAGGCTGGTCTCTAACTCCGAACCTCAGGTGATCCACCCTCTTTGGCCTCCCAAAGTTCTGGGATTATAGGCGTGAGCCACCACGCCCAGCTGACCCATTCCTTTTTAGGCTGCCTGAAGGGAATGGAGTTTAGCCATACAGAAGGTATAACAGGGTAGGGAAAACTATAGATGTGAGGTGAAGAATTATTCACGTCTGGGTGGGCCTACTCAAAGAAAGGTGTCTACTTGGCCTCACATTGTTTAACTCCAGCTGTACTTTATCTAGGACCCACTATGTTGGGCATTGTGTCTGGGCTCAAGTCCCCTCCAATGTGAGTGGCAGGTACTGAGACCCACATGTTCCCACTTGTTTCTGAACCAGAGGCTTGAGAGGCAAACTGTGGGAGACCCCCAGTGCCCCCTTTCCTGTGGGACTCTGATGCACATGGTTTGACTGGTGTTAAACTATCTCTACATCCCATTGTTGAGGCCAAGTACATTGATCCAAGCAAGGTTCCATGGGATTAGATACAGAGGTGCTGGACAAAAAGAGGGTCTTTATCCTTTGGGGATGGTGAGCTTAGGGACCAGGTTGGGTGGCTCACAGCCATTTTGACTGTCTGAAGAAAATGCCAAGTAGAGATGAACAGAGCCAAGAGATAAAGAGGGAGATCAAGCTCTATTTCATTTGAACTCCTGGATCCAGCTCTGCTGATCTTGGTAGATTCCTACCAAGAACTATCTCAGACATCCTAATATCTTGAACATTTTGACACTTGCAACTGAAGGAGTCTGACCAATATAGTTTGTCAGGATGTTATTTGTGACTGTGTGAGATATATTATATTATTGACTTTTGCAGTTAACTGACTCTGGGGGCTTCTTCCATGAAGCCAGATGTGTTTGCCATTTTCTAGGTGTCAGCAGCCCTACAGTGATTGATATGGTTTGCATTTGGGTCCCCACCCAAATCTCATGTCAAACTGTAATCCCCCATGTTGGAAGAGGGGCCTGGTGGGAGGTGATTGGATCATGGGGGCAGATTTTCTCCTTGCTGTTCTTGTAATAGTGAGTGAGTTCTCACGAGATCTGGTTGTTTAAAAGTGTGTAGCACTTTGGCCAGGTGTGGTGGCTCACGCCTATAATCCCAACACTGTGGGAGGCCATGACGGGTGGATCACTTGAGGTCAGGAGTTTGAGACCAGCCTGGCCAACATGGTGAAACCCAGTCTTTACTAAAAATACAAAAATTAGCCAGGTATTATGGCACACACCTGCAGTCCCACCTACTTGGGAGGCTGAGGCATGATAATCACTTTAACCTGGGAGGTGGAGGCTGTAGTGAGCCGAGATCACGCTACTGCACACCAGCCTGGGTGACAGAGCGAGGCTCTGTCTCAAAAACAAAATAAAGTGTGTAGCACCTCCCCTTTCTCTCTCTTCCTCCTGCTCCAGGCATGTAAGACAGGCCTGCTTCCCTTTCGCCTTCTGACACAGTTGAAAGTTTCCTGAGGCCTCCCCAGCCATGCTTCCCATACAGCCTGTGGAGCCACAGCCATTAAACCTCTTTTCTTTAAAATTACCCAGTTCCAGGTATTTCTTTAGAGCAGCGTGAGAATGGACTAATAAAGAGATGAGTAAGACATGGGCTTACAACATGGCTGTGGAGATGATGACAGCAACCCCTTACAAAATAATTACGCTCAATAAAATGCTCTACATCTCTTTCTCTTCAGTCGCAATCATAGAGAATGATTAGTTAGCAATTCCAGGTAGGATTTGGCAAGGATGGACTGAACTGGAGAGATGTTCTGTGCACCAGGAGCTCTGAGGAAGGTGGGCTGGGAGGGGAAGGAGATGTACTATGGATTCTTTCTAACACTCTGTTCTGGGTGCCTGTGCTAAGGGGTTGATGGGTGACAGAGGGAGAGAGGAACAGGTAGTCTGGGGAATCTCTGGGTGTGTCCACTGTGAGTGGAAGGGCTGTTTCTCATACCTTTCCCATTCCAGCGTGGGCATGTCCCAGCTTGACTACCACCGGGAAGTGTGGGGCTGTGACCTGAAAGAGACAAGAAGAAGTCACTCTTAACATCTCAGAGCATTGCCACCAAGGCTCTGGGTGCTGCTTGTTCCATAGAAAGATCCATTCATTTCATATGGTCGGGAATCCCCACAAGAATGCTTCGACAGATGGTCACCCAGCCATGGCCCAAACACCCTCAATGTCAGTGCTTTTGGCTTCCAAAGGAAGCTCTGAGCTCTTAAGACCAGCTTGTCTGGGGCACCCATCAATCTGCAGAGACAATGGAGTGGGACAAACCAACTGGTTTCCAATCTTGGCTTTACCGCTGTGCAACTTCAGGCAAGTTATTGCATTGACCCATGCCTCAGTTTCTTCATTTGTCAAATGAAGACGATAATAATAGTATCCCACGGGGTTGCTGTGAGGATTGAGTTATTACATGTGTGGCACTCAGTGAATGGAAGCTTAATTATTCCTGGCATACTCCTGTCTTACATTATTCTCTTTTTTTTTTTTTTTTTTTTTTTTTTTTTGGGACAAGTCTTGCTCTTGTTGCCCAGGCTGGAGTGCAATGGCACGATCTCAGCTCACTGCAACCTTTGCCTCCAGGGTTCAAGTGATTCTCCTGCCTCAGCCTCCCAAGTAGCTGGGATTACAGATGCCTGCCACCATGCCTGGCTAATTTTTGTATTTCTAGTAGAGATGGGGTTTCACCATGTTGGCCAGGCTGGTCTTGAACTCCTGACCTCAGGGGATCCGCCTGCCTCTGCCTCCTGAAGTGCTGGGGTTACAGGTGTGAGCCACCGCGCCTGGCCCATTATTCTTTCAAATAACACTTCAACCACCTGAAAACTTTCACTACTTCCCTTAAGCCTCCCCAGGCCACCATACGAGGCTGCTTAATAATAGCGGCCATGTCTGCCTCTGGCACAAGCGTTTATCGACTGTACCACATAGGCTCCGTGCTGAGCGACTGCTCTGCGTCACCTCCCTTAGGAAGCCACACTTGAGGACAGCAGCCTTGCTGGGTTGGTTCCCTGCTGCACCCCCAGCTCCTAGAACACGGCCTGATCCAGGGAAGGTGCTCGATACTGAATCTGTCCTTCAATCAGGCCCCTCAGCAAGACCTAGGAGGCATGCATGCTTCTCCCTCTGACACAAGTGAGACAGTTGGGCTGGAAAGACTGTATACTTCCCCACACACACCATCACTTAACCAGGGAGCTAGGAAGCCAGGACTCAGGCCTGAGCTTTGCTTTCCCCCTTTCATGTTGTTCATGTGTTTTTTGAGGGTGTTTTCTTGATTTCTAGAAGAACATTTTGCATTGCGTGAGGGCAAAGGTTATCCCTCCTAGTTATGTACTAATAACATAACTTCCTTCCATGTGGACCATTCCCAACTGGGGGCCATCCTGACCCCTTCTCCTCGGCTGTCCATGGACAGCACTGTCTGTCCTCTTACACTGTGGGCACCGAAGGAACGCAGCCTTGCCCTCTTGATGTCTCTTGCCTGGTCTGTCCTGTAGTAGCTGCTGAGCCTCTGCAGAAGGCCGCCTGTGCATCACAAAGCCATTCTGTGGCCCTCATCTCATTTTACCCCCACACTGGCCTTAGAAGGCAACCAGGGAAAGTATTTTAATCACCATTTTACAGATAAGAAAATCGAGACTCAAGTGAGTTGCTGGGAAGGGGTGGAGCTGGGACTTGAACTTGGGTCTGTCAGACTCCCAGCTTGAGTTGAACAGTTCCCTTTTAGTCTAGCACAAGAGTGGCCTGCAGTAGACTTTAAATAATATTTTTTTTGAGACAGAGTCTCACTCTTTCGCTCAGGCTGAAGTGCAGTGGCACGATCTTGGCCCACTGTAATCTCTGCCTCCTGGGTTCAAGCGATTCTCCTGCCTCAGCCTCCCAAATAGCAGGAATTACAGGCATGTGCCACCATGCCTGGCTAATTTTTGTATTTTTAGTAGAGACGGGGTTTCGCTATGTTGGTCAGGCTGATTTTGAACTCCTGACCTCAGGTGATCCGCCTGCCTCAGCCTCCCAAAGTGCTAGGATTCCAGCCCCGGAAACCACTGCGCCCAGCCATAGTTTTTTTTTTCCTTGATTTCAGGCTAAAATTTACCATACCCTGGTGTCTATGGTGAATACATACATGTTAAAAAAACAGCAACATTTGATTTTGATTCCAAAAGCAATAAGTACTCACTATAAAAACTTTGCAAAATATGATAAGATTAATTGAAAGAACCTCATCAGTTACCTTATTGATTGATATATATATCAATTACCTTAAGTATAAAGACGTCAATAAAAATCATCCTCAGACTGCTAACAGTTTTGGTTTATTATCTGCTGCTCTTTTAAAAAAAATCTGTATTGAGGTTTTCCCTTGATTTGTTCTGTTTTTACAAAATTGGGAGTATAGTGGATATCCAGTCTTGGTTCTTGCTCTTTCCACTTAATATTATGTAATGAGAATACTCCTGGTGGTTATTACTTGTTAACTTAATAATAATTATGAAATATTTCACATATGGAAAAAGCCTTAAAGAGCAATATTACAGACATCAGCTTGCTTAAGAAATAAAACACTGCTTAGACAGCTGAAGCCCCTGATGTACTTTTTTTTTTTTTTTGAGGCAGAGTCTCGCTTTGTCGCTCAGGCTGGAGTGCAGTGGTGCGATCTCGGCTCAGTGCAAGCTCCGCCTCCCGGGTTCACACCATTCTCCTGCCTCAGCCTCCCGAGTAGCTGGGACTACAGGTGCCCGCCACCATGCCCGGCTAATTTTTTGTATTTTTAGTACAGATGGGGTTTCACTGTGTTAGCCAGGATGGTCTCGATCTCCTGACCTCGTGATCCGCCCGCCTCAGCCTCCCAAAGTGCTGGGATTACAGGTGTGAGCCACTGCGCCGGAAGTCAAGTTTATGTGTCTTGACTCTCCATCAAGCACTCTCTCCATCAAGGCACACTTTTCTGGGAATCATATGCATATCTGGGGTGTAATAAATGCTCCCCACCCCCCATGATAGTGATCAATAAAATAATATCAAATCAATTGCGTGGGCACGACTGAATGAGAACTATGTGGCTAGTTATGTGTCTTGTGCTGGTTGGGGCACACCAAAGGTTGAGACAAGATTTCTGCCCTCAGAGGATTTATTATCTGCTTGGACCCATGGGCTGTACAATGAAAGAGCAGAGTGAGGCAGCATGGCAGGAAGCTGTGGGGTACGTCGCGGTCATGTGCAAGTCTCCAGAGCAGAGCCCAACATTTTTGGCACCAGGGACCAGTTTTGTGGAAGAGAATTTTTACACGAACTAGAGGGGGATGAGGGGATGGTTTTAGGATGATTCCAGAGCATTGCATTTATTGTGCATTTTATTTCTATTATTATTACCTTGTAATACATGATGAAATAATTACACAACTCACCATAATGTAGGATTAGTGGGAGCCCTGAGCTTGTTTTCTTGCAACTAGACAGTCCCATCTGGGGGTGATGGGAGACAGTGACAGATCATCAGGCATTAGATTTACATAACGAGAGGGCAACCTACATTCCTCGAATGCGCAATTCACGACAGGGTTAGTACTCCTATGAGAATCTAATGCTGCCTCTGATCTGACAGGAGATGGGGCTCAGGCGGTCGTGCGAGTGATGCAGAGTGGCTGTAAATACAGATGAAGCCTCACTCACTTACCCACGGCTCACCTTCTGCTGTGCAGCTCTGTTTCTAACAGGCCATGGACCTGTACTGGTCTGTGGCCCAGAGGTGGGGGACCCCTGCTCCAGAGGAAATGAGGCTCTGACCAGGGTTCTGAAGGATGAGTAGGTTGTGGGTGGATGGATAGAAGGCACAGAGTTCCCCCAAGGGTGAATGGTGCAGACCACCACGGTCTTCCCGTGGGGCATGTTTAGATTCTTCATGAGCTCTAATAAACAAAGACCCATAGGAAGGAAGGATTTATTTTATGCAACTTAATATGATTTTTTTTTTTTGAGACAGAGTCTTGCTCTGTCTGCCAGGCTGGAGTGCAGTGGCACAATCTCGGCTCACTGCAACCTCTGTCTCCTGGGCTCAAGCAATTCTCCTGCCTCAGACTTCCGAGTAGCTGGTATTACAGGCTGTGCCACCATGCCTGGCTAATTTTTGTATTTTCAGTAGAGACCGGGTTTCACTATGTTGGCCAGGCTGGTCCCGAACTCCTGACCTCAGGTAATCCACCCACCTCGGCCTGCCAAAGTTCTGGGATAACAGGCGTGAGCCACCCCTCCCGGCCACTTAATATGATTTGATCTGCAATAAATCTATTTTGCAGGTGATTGCTGAACAGAATTGTATATTTGAACGGCATGTCCTTCTCCAGGGTTCTTAAATGAAATTGGAGGAATGTGTTCATTGCTAGAAATTGTGGAGTAGGTGCTGTATCTGTATTTAGAGAACACAGAAAGTCAATCTAGCAAAATCTGAGAATGTTTAAGTAAGATATTTCACAGAAAACATTTCAGAATTCATCCAAAGCAATGGATTTTCCTGATACTAGGGGAAATTTTCCTTTGCCTTTTTTTTTCTTTCTTTTTTTTTTTCTGAGATGGAGTCTTGCTCTGTCGCCCAGGCTGGAGTGCAGTGGTGCGATCTCAGCTCACTGCAAGCTCTGCCTCCTGGGTTCACGCCATTCTCCTGCCTCAGCCTCCGGAGTAGCTGGGACTACAGGCGCCCGCCACCACGCCCGGCTAATATTTTGTATTTTTAGTAGAGACGGGGTTTCACCGTGTTAGCCAGAATGGTCTGGATCTCCTGACCTCGTGATCCACCCGCCTTGGCCTCCCAAAGTGCTGGGATTACAGGCGTGAGCCACTGCGCCCAGCCTCCTTTGCCATTTTTTACTTTGACTTGTGGGAAACAGCAATCTTTTTAGAACCACGTATGGGCTGGCAAGACTCCGGGCTAGTGCTGGGGACACAGAAGAGGTAATTTGGGGCCAGATTATTGGGGGCCTTTGAAACCAAAGAGGGGAGTTCAGGTTGCTTGGATGGACAGTGGGGAAGCAGGATAGTTCTGGAACCGGGGAGCGACCTGCCAGCTGTGGGCAGGATGGATTTGTGCTAGTGGTGACTGAAGGGCCAGGGGCCAGTTTGGAATTCATTCTAAAGACAGTAAATGCCACTGGTTGGGCCTGGACTGGGAAGAAATGGTAGAGGGAGTGGGAGCACTCCCAGAGCTTTTCTTTTCTTTTCTTTTTTTTTTTTTGTGACACTTCTTTATTGAAATAATAGTATTAAAATGACCAGAGAAATTCAAGACAAAAATTGTCTACAATCTCATTGTCTAACCAAATCAGTGTTTGCATTGGTCCACATTACCTTATAATTTTTATATGTCCAATAAAACCCCCAGGATACTTTACAACAATATTAGAGGTAGAATTTTGCATCTATCTTCTCACTTAATATTATACCATAAGTGTTTTCTTATTTTTGCTACAGATGTTTTTATTTTCTTCTATCTTTCCCCACTCCCCTTCTCCAGACCAGGTAACTAATCTCACCTCCCCAGTGTGTCTGGGGTGTATTCCTGCCCATCCCTCACCACGTGCAATCTTTGCAAACACGTATGCACGGATATGGCTGAGGCTGATGTTTGTATTTTTGAAAATAGCTCTTATCTCTTAACGTCACACTGTATACACCCCTCCTCCCATGTCAATAAAGATAGTTCTATCCCGATAGTTTTTTGTTTTGTTTTGTTTTGTTTGTTTGTTTGTTTGTTTTTGGAGACAGAGTCTTGCTCTGTTGCCAGGCTGGAGTGTAGTGACACGATCTCAGCTCACTGCAACCTCCAACTCCCTGGTTCAAGCGATTCTCCTGCCTCAGCCTCCTGAGTAGCTGGGATTACAGGCACGAGCCACCATGCCCAGCTAATTTTTGTATTTTTAGTAGAGACGGGGTTTCACCATGTTGGCCAGGATGGTCTTCATCTCCTGACCTTGTGATCCGCTTGCCTCGGCCTCCCAAAGTGCTGAGATTACAGGCGTCAGCTACCGCGCCCAGCCAATCCTGATAGTTTTAATAATAGCTGCACCGTCTACACATGTACACGTGCACTGGTTTCCTATTAATAGACATTTGTGTTATTCATTCTCTCTCTGCTACTATAAACGAGACTTCATTAAACATCTTTGTACACATGTCCTTATGAGCTAGTGTTTTAATTCCTCCAGGCCAGTCCAGGAGATTTTCAAAGGGAGAACCAGCAGAATTTGGAGACATTCTTTTTTTTTTTTTTGAGATGGAGTCTCGCTCTGTCGCCCAGGCTTCTATTTCTAAAGTCAGTTGTTAGAGCTCAAGAAATGAAACCGGATGCCATGGCATTGCATACGGGGTGAATCAGCCACCATATTACCTCCAGGCTAAAAGTGACTGTATTTATTGTCATGTAAGAAGGGCCAGGAACGGGACCAGGCACTTTATGGATGGTAGCATCCTTTCCCTCCCCCATGTTATAGATAACAAAACACAGCGCTGGCCGGGCGCGGTGGCTCATGCCTGTAATCCCAGCACTTTGGCAGGCCAAGGCGGGCGGATCACAAGGTCAGGAGATGGAGACCATCCTGGCTAACATGGTGAAATCCCATCTCTACTAAAAATACAAAAAAAAAAAAAAATAGCCAGGTATGGTGGCGGGCACCTGTAGTCCCAGCTACTAGGGAGGCTGAGGCAGGGGAATGGCGTCAATCCAGGAGGTGGAGCTTTCAGTGAGCCGAGATCGTGCCACTGCACTCCAGCCTGGGCGACAGAGCGAGACTCCGAGACTCCGTCTCAAAAAAAAAGAAAAAAAAAAAAAAGAAAGAAAGAAAACACAGCCCTTTGCCCGAAGCCAGACAGTGAAGACGGTGCTGCTGCCCTGTGGCCACCCCACTTCCCAAGCTGTTCAAATGGGTGTCGAAGGCCATTCCCACTTCTACCCCTTTGCAACATGCCAGCCCCTCCCCAAACACAGACAGGTCACAGAGGACAAAAAACATCTTGCCGGCTATTTTCTCTCTTCCCTTCCCAACAATAGCTTTATTTAGTTCCCCTGGGGATGCCGAGGTCTGCATCAGCCTCTCACAGGCTCCCTGTCCCGCTCACATGCCCTGGGCACTCCAGAGTGCAGCACTGCCCAGTGGCGTAAGAGGCCTGACATCCTGTCAGAAGGGGCAGACCGATTTTGGAAAACAGAGATCCCCACCCAGATAAGGGCTTTATTCAAAAGAACCCAAAGAAACCAAAATACTCGGGGTAGCCCAGTGCCTATGCTGGGTGTTCCCTTGGGAGGATTAGAGATGGGAGTGGAAGCCCAGGTCAGCCTAGTCACAGCCGCATCCTCAATCCACAGAGTCAGAGAAACAGGACTTTAGAGTGGCCCGGACAGCCTCCCACCAAAGGAGGCAACTCCTCCTATGTTCTTGACTCTGAAGATTTAAATAGTCAGAGTCTGGTCCTACGTAAGCGATGGGAAAATCAAGATCGAGAAGAATCTGGAGGAAGAAATCAAGGACTGAAGTCTGGGAAGACTTCCAGGAGGAGCTGGCCTCCATTTCCTGCCTCCAAGGCTCTGCCTGATCCAGCTCTCCCCCATGTCTTCTGTTTCATCTCATGTGTCTCCCTCCTCCTCCTCAGCCCAACCCCTAACTCCCAGTTACAGCCTACTGACCTTTCAGTTCTTTACTGAATGTGCCGCACTCCCTCCAGCCACGGTCTTTGCGTAAGCTGTTCCCTGTTTCCCTGAGATACCCTCCCTCACACTCTTTTCTAGGCCAATCCCGTCTCATACTCATGTCTCCGCTGAGATACCCTCCCTCACACTCTTTTCTAGGCCAGTCCCGTCTCATACTCATGTCTCCGCTGAAATTCTGTCCCTGAAAAGCCCTCCCGGGCCACTGGTCTCCCGTAGGCACTTCCTGTTATCTTCTCTATCTCACTCTGAGAGTTCTCTTTTCCTAGCTCTAGACACCATTTAGAATTATACATTCATGACTGGGCGCGGTGGCTCACGCCTGTAATCCCAGCACTTTGGGAGGCTGAGGCGGGCAGATGACGAGGTCAGGAGATCGAGACCATCCTGGCTAACACGGTGAAACCCACTCTCTACTAAAAATGCAAAAAAATTAGCCGGGCGTGGTGGCGGGTGCCTGTAGTCCCAGCTACTCGGGAGGCTGAGGCGGGAGAATGGTGTGAACCCGGGAGGTGGAGCTTGCAGTGAGCCGAGATGGCGCCACTGCACACCAGCCTGGGCGATAGAGCGAGACTCCATCTCAGAAAAAAAAAAAAAAAAAAAGAATTATACATTCATCTTTTTTTTAACTGTCTGTTTCTCCACTCCCCATAGGTGGTCTGAGGACAGGAACTTTGCTTGTTTTGTTTACCACTGCGTCTCTAGACTCTCCACAAGGCCCGGCAGACAGTAAGCGCGTTTGTTGAATGCGTATTAGACGAAGTCTCCCACAACAAGCGGGAGAAGTCATATGCGAACAGGCAGAGTCAGGAGGAATGTGGTGATTCGAGTGGAAGGTTTGTTGGGGATGCAGCCAGAATTAGGGCGGACAGATCAGGAATGGCAAGCTTGGGAAGGGCCTGGCACCAGAGGTAGGAGTTTGAACTGTGTTTCATGGCTACCAGGCAGCCGTCGAGGGTTTGGATGCAGTGGGGTAGACACCTGTAGAGCAGGCTTTAGGAAGAGTTCTCTGGAGGCTGTGGAAACAACAGCTCATATCTCTTGAGCCCTTAGTGTGTACCAGGCATGGGGCTAAGCACTTTACATATATCGCCCCACGTAAGCCTCTTGATACTTCTTCTGTGAGGTAGCTCCTATCTTTATTCCATTTTACATACATGGAAATAAAGGCAAAGAGAGGTGAAGTTTTTGGCCTAAGATCACTCAGCAAGAAAGTGGAAGAGCTAGGATTCAGCCAGAGCCACCCGCCCCTGCTCCCTCCTGCATGGTGCCGCCTCTGGACAACTATGATCATCCAGTGCTTCCCCTGCACCCAGAACTGGAGCACGTGGGTGGAGGCCAGCAGACCTGTTAGGACAAGACTGGCTGCAGTCATCACTGGGCAGGGCAGGGCAAGGTGGCAGCAGCATGGACATGGGTAGAAGGATGCCAGTTCACTTCTGGCTCCCACATTTACAGTTGTGAGCCCTTGGGTAAGTCACCGACCACTCTGTGACTCAGTTTCCTCATGCCCCAAATAGGAAGATCACTTGAATCCCACCAGATTGATGGGAGGAATGGACATTATAATAGATTTTGGTCACTGAGGAGTTGGTCACTGGATGGTTGTTGCTAGTGGAGAGGCACAAATGAACTTAGAGGATGCCCAGGGCCTGGCTGGCCTGGAGTAGGACGGCAGTCTGCCCTTGCTCTCATCTCCTCCACATCTATGATCTCAGGGGCACGGCAGCAAGTGGGGGCCATGGGATGTCAAAGGCTGATCTGTTATTCCTTGGAAGCAGGAAGGGAAGGGAAGGGGAAGGAAGCCTGAGGCCCAGGTTGTGAGCAGGGAGCGCGTTACGAAGCCTTTGACAGAAATGGGGCAGCCCGGAAATGGGGTTTGTGGTAGACATTTAAAACAGACTCATTCAACAGAAAGCACAGGAGCACTCCCACGGCTGCTTCATAAAGCTTAACCTTGCTGTGTAGCATCTGACAGACTCTCCTTGGAATTTTAAGCACGGCACATAGAGACACTCCTGTCAGGAGGAGGAGCACAGACAAGATGACCTTTGCAACTCTTCTGTAATTCTGCCATGTTGTGACAAATCTACCAAATGCCATTTAGAGGAGTGAAATGTGGAAACGCAAATATGTTAAGACAAAACTTCACGGCTTACGGGGCTCTGTGTGGTCTGACCCCTGCCTTCTGCTCCAAACCCATCTTACCCACACTCCCCCATCAGCCTCTCTGGCCCAGGCTCAGTGGCTTTCTCCCCAGCCTGGATACTAGTATACTAGTGCTGTCCCCTCTGGCCACAGGGGCTTTGCATATGCTGTTTTTATTGCCTGCAGCGAAGTCCCTCTCTGCTCCTCTTCATTCAGCCAACTCTTTATTTTTTATTTTTTATTTTTTTAATTTTTAAATAAGTATTTATTTAAAAAATAATTATTTATTTATTTATTTTTATTATACTTTAAGTTTTAGGGTACATGTGCACAACGTGCAGGTTTGTTACATATGTATACATGTGCCATGTTGGTGTGCTGCACCCATTAACTCGTCATTTAACATTAGGTATATCTCCTAATGCTGTCCCTCCCCGCCTCCCCCCACCCCACAACAGGCCCCTATGTGTGATGTTCCCCTTCCTGTGTCCATGTCTGCATGCTTCAGAAGTCAGCTCCAACATCACCTCCCCAAGCAGCTGGCTTGCATCTCCCTGCCTATGTCACAGTCTGCTCATCTGTTCTTCCTTCTTAGCCATTTCAAATGGATCTGTGTGATTGTTGAGGAATGTCTGACTCCAAGAGAAGCGGTGGGGCAGTGTCTGTGGCTGCTCAACATTGAACCCTCAGGCCTCTCCTGAATGACAGACCTGCCTCCTGATCCCGGCCGCCAGGTGCTGCTGCAGAACCTGCAACTCAACATTTCCAAACAACTGCATGAATTCCCATCAAAAATGTTCTCTTCTCTTCTTGTACCCCAACCTCAGTCAACGCTGCCACCACCCGCCCAGGTGCCCAAGATAGAGATCCTGCCTGCCTTCTTCATCCTTATACCTGTCCTGACCCTGGTCAGGCACACAGGAGGGCCCAGGAGATGTTTGCAGAGTGAGGTCTGTGGTCTCCCTGCCCAGCCTCGAGCTCTCTGGCCTTCTAATCCCACCTCTGAACTCCCTGCATCACCTCCTTCCACCTTAAGTCTGTCTTGGGAAAATACCGGTAGCATATTCAGAAAAATGAAACGAAATCTGCCCTACCAAAAAACAAATATTCCATTATCTTACATTTCCTGTTTCCCTGAGAAACGGAATAGTCAAAAATAAACAAACTGATAGGATGGCAATATTTGTCTGCTTTTCTTGTTCTTGCCTGTGTGATGTTTATAGCATAGAACAGGTTCAGTCTCCCATGAGGATCCTCCTGGGTGACACTCACCATGCAGACAACATCTCCAGCAAACTGTGGCTCTGGGGAGGGTCTGAATGATCCTAAATGACGGGGAAGCGAAGACCACCCTGAGCCACATGGATACACGCAGCTGCGGGATCACAGACCCTCTGGGCTTGTGCTATAATTTACTTTTTTTGACAGTCTTGTTCCAGCTGCATCTGTAGATGGGGAAAAGCACCCCTTTCCAAGTCAGATGACCCTTTTAAAAAAAGTATTTATTCTTGAGATGGAGTCTCGCTCTGTCTGTCACCCAGGCTGGAGTGCAGTGGTGTGATCTCGGCTCACTGCAACCTCCGCCTCCTGGGTTCAAGCGATTCCCCCACCTCAGCCTCCTGAGTAGCTGGGATTACAGGCACGTGCCACCACGCCCAGCTAATTTTTTTGTATTTTTAGTAGAGGTGGGGTTTTGCCATGTTGGCCAGAGTGGTCTCGAACTCCTGACGTCAAATGATCCGCCCGCTTCGGCTTCCCAAAGTGTTGGGATTACAGGTGTGAGCCACCATGCCCAGCCCATGTCAGATGATCCTTAATATGGGAATTACTGTTCTTCTTAGTTACTTCAGAAAATAGTTGAATAACAATTACTTCAGTGTCCACATTTCTTTGCTTCAGTTGATGTTCACACATTTAATGTCTTAAGATTAAAGATAAATGTAAACTTTTGTTTAAAAGTACTGTTGTCTTGGTATTGCATAGAAGAAATACTGTTTGCTTGGGGCTGTAGGCAAAGGCATTTCATCTGGTTCAGAGAAACTATTTGTGCAGTGCCATGAAATTAGCTGGAAGAGAGAAGATAGGCTTTGAAGCCAGGCAGACTTGCGTTTAAATATCATTAGCATCAGTTCCTATGGGGATATCCTTGGCAAGTTTCTTAGCCTTTCCAGTCTCAGCTGCTTTACCTATAAATGGGAATAAGCACACCCAAAATCGACGTTGTTGTGAAGATTTGAGTTTTCATGTAAAATACATGTTATAGGTATCTGGATCCTAGCCAGAAACTCTTTGGGGATAATTTAAACTGATACGCAGTTAAAATCAGTACAACTCCCCCTCCTTCAAATTAGTACTTGATACAGTGATAGCCATTGCTCTTTTTTTCTTCTTCTTTTTTTTAAAGTTTTCCTTTTTGTACTATTTATTGTAAAAATATCTGCTTTGAATTTATTTTTAAAGTTATTAAATTGGGCCAGGCCTGGTGGCTCACACCTGTAATCCCAGCACTTTGGGAGGCCGAGGCGGGTGGATCACGAGGTCAGGAGATCGAGACCATCCTGGCTAACATGGTGAAACCCCGTCTCTACTAAAAATACAAAAAATTAGCTGGACGTGGTTGCAGGTGCCTGTAGTCCCAGTTACTCGGGAGGCTGAGGGAGGAGAATGGCGTGAATCCGGGAGGCGGAGCTTTCGGTGAGCGGAGATGGAGCCACTACTCCAGCCTGGGCGACAGAGTGAGACTCTGTCTCAATAAATGAATAAATAAATAAATAAAATAAAATAAAGTTATCATTACATTGAATAATGAATTTGTCTGATATTCCTTATATAAATAATGATTCTATGTATTTATTTACCTGTGCAGAAATATACTTAAACTCTAGTGATGACATCCTGCCTGGTGTTTTTTTTTTTTTTTTAAGAGACAGGGTCTTTCTCTGTTGCCCAGGCTGGAGTACAGTGGCGTGGTCGTAGCTCACTGTAATCTCAAACTCCTGTACTCAAGTAATCCTTCTGCCTCAGCCTCTCCAGTAACTGGGACTACAAGCGTGTGCCACCATGCCCAGCTAATTAAAAAAAAATAAATAAAAGTGTTTTTGGAGGAGACAGGGTCTCGCTTTGTTGCCCAGGCTGGACTCAAACTCCTAGCCTAAAGCAACCCTCCCACCTCAGCCTCTCAAAGTACTGGGATTACAGGTGTGAGCCACTGCACTTGACCTCTGCCTGGTTTTTATCCTGTAAATCTTGCATAACCTTTTAATGTAATTCAGTGAAATCTGACCCACTATAGCTGCAGAGATGGTGCCCGAATTTTTAAACTGTTTACAGCTGTTATTTTACAACTTTATTGAGATACAATTCACATACCATAAAATTCACCCTTTTAGAAATGTGAAGGAAACTAGTCATAAAAGAATGTACAATTCAGACCAGGTGTGGTGGCTCACGCCTGTAATCCCAGCACTTTGGGAGGCCGAGGCAGGCAGATGACAAGGTCAGGAGCTTGAGACCAGCCTGGGCAATATGGTGAAACCCCGTCTCTACTAAAAATACAAAAATTAGCTGGGTGTGGTGGTGGGTGCCTGTAATCTCAGCTACTCGGGAGGCTGAGGCAGGAGAATCGCTTGAACCCGGGAGGCAGAGGTTGCAGTGAGCCAAGATTGCACCGCTGCACTCCAGCCTGGGCAACAGATCAAGATTCTGTCCCCCTGCCCCCCCCAAAAAAAGAAATGTACAGTTCAGTGCTTGTAGGTTATTCACAGAGTTGTGCAGCCATCAACACTACCTATGTTTAGAACGTTTTTATCACTCAAAAAGAAACTCGGTACATAGTACCAGTCCTTCCCCATTTCCCTGGAGCCCCTTCCAGCCTCTGATGACCAATGCTCTACTTTCTGTCTCTACAGATTTCCCTATTCTGGACATTTCAGACACATGGACTCAAACAATATGTGGCCTTTTGTGACTAGTTTCCTTCACTTTGTATGTGTGTTTTTGTTTTGTTTTGTTTTGTTTTGTTTTGTTTTGAGACAACGTTTTGCTCTTGTTGCCCAGGCTGAAGTGCAATCACGCAATCTTGGCTCACCGCAACCTCCCCCTCCAGATGTCAAGCAATTCTCCTGCCTCAGCCTCCCAAGTAGGTGGGATTACAGGCGCATGCCACCACGCCTGGCTAATTTTGTATTTTTAGTAGAGACGGGTTTTCTCCATGTTGGTCAGGCTGGTCTCGAACTCTCGATCTCAGGTGATACAACCACATCAGCCTCCCAAAGTGCTGGGATTATAGGCATGAGCCACTGCGTCCAGCCACTTTGTTTTGAAGGTTCATCCATGTTGTAACATTTATCAGTGCTTCATTCTTTTTATTGCCACACAGTATTCTGTTGTATGGATGGTGTCTGACGTTTAATTATATTTTGGAATGACCTGGATATGTATTTCCAGTGATTGCAGACCATGAAGACAAATGAATGTCTAGGAAATCTCAAGAATATGGGTAATACTTTGGCAACGCCCTGGATCAGAAGTGATTTCTATACCTAACTGGGCAGCTCATGAATTTTTAACATTTGGGAAGAAGGAGGGTTTTCACAAGTGAACCAACACTAGCTTGCAGGGTCTTGCATCCTGTGTGAAACCTTTTCCGTCTCATCCACTGTTGTATCTTTGGCCATTTGAGAGCAGAGGGCTTCAGCTAGAGTTTTTTTTTTGTTTTTTTTTTTTTTTTTTTTTGTGGGGGGGATGGAGTCTCGCCCTGTTGCCCAGGCTGGAGTGCAATGGCACCATCTCGGCTCACTGCAACCTCTGCCTCCCAGATTCAGATGATTCTCCTGCCTCAGTCCCCCGAGTAGCTGGGATTACAGTCACGCACCACCATGCCTGGCTAATTTTTGTACTTTTAGTAGAGGTGGGGATTCACTATGTTGGCCAGGCTGGTCTCGAACTCCTGACCTCGTGATCTGCCCGCCTCGGCCTCCCAAAGTGCTGCGATTACAGGCTTGAGCCACCGCACCCAGCTGAGCTAGATCTTTTGTACAATTATTGGGGTGAGCAAGATCTCTGCTTCTGGCTTATTCTTACTTTGTCATCCCATGAGCAAGGTGATAAAGAGAAGGGCTAAGAAGGAAGAATGTTCAGGATGCTGTGACGTGATAAGAAACATGCATTTAGTCTGTGCTTCCAGTTCCTGAGACAGAGCTCCTAAAAGCCTTGTAATTTCCTGAGTGACAGGGGTGCTGGGAGCATCTTTTGTTCTAATGAGGCCACTCTTGGTGGGCTCCTGGATAGCTTCAGGATGGGGGCTGGTCACCAGATTGAGGCTTGAATCTTTCAGTCCCACCCTTCATCCTCTGGGAAGGAGAGATGGGATAGAGATTGAACTAATAATTCTTCATGCCTATGTGATGAGGCTTCCATAAAAATCCCTCAACTACAGAACTGGAGAGCTTCCGGGTTGCTGAAAACCTCCGTGTGCTAGGAGGGTGGTGTGCCCCAACTCCATGGTGATAGAAGCTCCTGTCCTTGGGACCCTTCTGGATTTTGCCCTATGTTCCTCTTCATCTGACTGTTCTTTATATCCTTTCTCACATCTCTTATAATAAACCAATAAATATAAGTAAAGTGTCTCCTGAATTATGTGAGCAGTTATAGCAAATTATCAAATATGAGCAGGGACTTATGCGAACTCCAACTCCAACTCCAACCAGTCAGACAAAAGTGTGGGTACCATGGGCACCCAAATTTGCAACTGGCTTCTGAAGTGGGGGACAGTCTTGTGGGACTGAGCCCTTAACCGGTAGGATCTATGCTAACTCCAGATAGTTAGTGTCAGAATTGAATTCAATTGCAGGACACTCAGTTGGTATCCACAGAGAACTGGATAATCACTTGGTATGGAAAACCCACATATTTAGTGTCAGAAGTGTTGCGAGTAGAAAAATAGTTTCGCTTTAGGGGCTAAAGAAAAAAGTATAGAGAAATACTGGAGGCCACGCATGGTGGCTCACGCCTGAAATCCCAACATTTTGGGAGGTCAAGGCAGGAGGATCGCTTAAGGCCAAAAGTTAAAGACCAGCCAAGGCAACATAGTAAGACCTTGTCTCTATAAAAGAAAAAAAAATTAGCCAGGCATGGTGGCACATGCCTGTAGTCCCAGCCACTTGGGAGGCTGAGGTGGGATGATCACTTGAGCCCAGGAATTGGAGGCTGCAGTGAGCAGCTGCACCACTGAACTCCAGCCTGGGTGACAAAGTGAGACCCTGTGTCCTAAATAAATAAATAAATAAATAAATGATATGGTTTGGCTCTGTGTCCTCACCCAAATCTCATGTTGAATTATATTTCCCAATGTTGGGAGGAGGGACCTGGTGGCAGGTGATCGGATCATGGGGGCAGATTTCTCCCTTGCTGTTCTTGCGATAGTAAGGGAGTTCTCACGAGAACTGATGGTTTAAAAGTGTGTGGCACTTCCTCTTCTCTCTCTCCTGCTGCCATGTGCAAATGTGCCTGCTTCCCCTTCACCCTCCTACCATGATTGTAAGTTTCCTGAGGCCTCCCCAGCCATGCCTCCTGTACAGCCTGTGGAACTGTGACTCAATTAAGCCTCCTTTTTTTTTAATAAATTAAAAAATTTTAATTAATTTTTTAAATAAAGTACCCAGTCTCAGGTAGTTCTTTATAACAATGTGAGAATGAATTAATATAATACAGTAAATAAATAACAAATAAATAAATATGAATAAATAAATATTGGTACAGGGTACCAGCAGCAGGGTAGGAGAGAGAATTATCTCTAGCCCTCCCTCCTCCTTGCAAGGCCATTGCCTCCTCCCTTCTGAAAATGACCTTCATTTTTTCAAGAGCTCTTATGCCATGGCTAACTTTGAAGCCATTCAGAGGGGAAGCTTTGAGACCTGGAGTTAATCCTGCCAACAAGGAAAGCTAAAGTTGGGTTTGCCCTGATATATTTATTTCCACGTTTATTTGAGTTCCGTGAGGGCAAGGATAGCATTCATTTTGTTCATTGGTTGCCCAACATGGAGTAGGTCCTCTGTAAGGATTCGTTGATGGGATTCATTGAATGAATGTAGGCACACAGATTGCCGAGAGCTCTGTAAACGTCAGGTGCTGTTGTTGTTACCATTATCATTATTACGTATTGACTGAACTACTTTTAGAGTATCAAAAACTCCCCTGTATCAAACCCTCTGCCATTCCAGGTGACTGGTGCTCTCTTGGTGTCTTTGTTGTTTTTCAGCCCTGCCTAGGGTGCACCATGCTTTCTTTAGCTTCTCCTTCACCCTTCCTTCCACCTACGGAAGAGGCTGCAAAACACAGTGAGCACTTAAAACTACAGTCTTTGAAGCCAGACCACCTGCGCTTGAATCTCAGCCCTACCACTGCTGAGCTGTGTGTCCTTGGGCAAGTTGCTTCACTTCTCTGTGCTTCAAGTTCTGCATTTGTGAATAGGGCTAAAAGTAGGATGCTCCACAGAGGTTGTCTCAGGGTTTAAATGAATTAACCGGCACAAAGCACTCAGCTGGGCATACAGGGAGTGCTGGCTGTTGGTATTATTGTTGTTAACCCAACTGCATTCCTGCAACTGCTGTTCTGTCTCACTCCATTGCTCTCAGCTTTCCAAAGTGACATCTGACAGGAGGAATCTGGGCTTCCGTGGTAGAGGCTGGCAGGGGTTTAATGGGCTACCGGTGTGCCATGTATCTGCAGCCGATGGATGTGTGTGGGTAACAGGGAAGGCTGCCCTGAGATACTGACTCTGAGCCCAAAGAGAGAGATGGACAAGGGTCACTCCAGCTCCTTCCTGGGCCTGGGGTCAGGCAGCTCTGTATGGACACAGTGGAGGGATTTGATGGTCCCTTGAGGGTTATTGCAGCTGCCAAGACCCCCAGTTTTCTTCATTACACTATATTGGGGTCTCCCCTTGAGTGGACAGGGGGATGAACCCTGTCTGACCAGTGGTGGGGAGGTGGGGACTCACAGGTCACCCAGAGCAGCAGAGCTCCTTCATCACACAAAGGAGGAAACTGAGGCCTGGGAAGCAGAGACTGTGGGCAGGTCCCATTTCTAGTCATCATCCTTCAATCTCCACTTCATTCTGCATTTGTAGCTATTATTAATGATATACAAAAGGCCGAAGGCATTACCTCAACTTTATAAATAAGGAAACTGAGGTTCAAGCTTGTCAAATGAAGCTGTGAAACCCAAGCCTTAAAACTCAAGAGCGGGGCCCCCTCCTCGGAATCCAGAAGTAGTTTTGTTCCATCCCCAGTCTTCTGCACTGGAAAAAAAACTTTATGAAGCACATACTGTGCTGGCCCCATGGAAACAGCCCCTGACTCCAAGGGACCTTTTATTCTGCAAATTTCAGACAAATGTTCCAAAAAAAAAAAAATACTGCCAATGGGGAAGAATAATTGGAAAGTAAAAAATTACCCCCACCGTGGTTGGGAGCCGACAGTGGTGACACTCTGCTAAGTGCTGATGTGCGTTTAACTCCTTTGATCCTCGCAATGACTCTTTGAAAGCTACAGATGGGAGGCCGGGTGCGAGTGGCTCATGCCTGTAATCCCAGCCATGGGAAGAATCCCAGACTTTGGGATCCACCGCTGAGGTGGGTGGATCACCTGAGGTCAGGAGTTCGAAACCAGCCTGGCCAACATGGTGAAAGCCGGTCTCTACTAAAAATACAAAAATTAGCTGGGCATGGTGGCAGGCGCCTGTAATCCCAGCTACTTGGGAGACTGAGGCATGAGAATCCCTTAAACCAGGAGGCGGAGGTTGCAGTGAGCTGAGGTTGTGTCACTGCACTCCGGCCTGGGCGTCAGAGCAAGACTTCATCTAAAAAAAAAAAAAAAAAAAGAAAAAAAGAAAGAAAACTACAGATGGAGAAATGGAGTCAGGGAGGGAACAACAGGGGCACAGGGTCGCAGTAAGTGGCAGGGCTCGGCTCCATCCAGCTCTGCCACATTCTGGAGGAGGTGGGAAAAGTCACAAGGTGGGAACGCCACTGCTCTCAGTTTAGGGAGTGGGCTTTGAGGGATAGCACGCTCTAATAAGGGAATCATACTTGTTCTAAGAGGCTGGCCATGAAGCAGTTTTAAACCCACCCTAGTGTGTGAAACATCACAGCAGTGCTCAGAGAGAATAACACAGGCCGCTTTTTCCCACCTGTCTGCAGGGAGTAGAGATTTGGGAAGAGGAGGGCTGTTTTGGGGCTCGTTCACAGCACGGCTGGGCCAGAGGAGGTCTTCCTGGGAGAAAGGGCATCCAGGTACGACAGGGACAGCTTCTCAGCTGCAAAGTGGAGGGAATGCAATGGGGGCGGAGTCTCCCTAACTTCTGTGAGTGAACGTGTGGGAATGGATTGGCTGAAAGCCAAGCTGCAAGATCCTCCCTAGGTCACAACTGGCCTGGCAGACGGAGCCTTCCTAGACACCTGAAGTTCCCAGGGAATGCAGGATGCCAGGAGTTCCCTGCAAGCTGCGAGGAGAGAGGGGCATTCCCCTGGACCCAGCCAGGAGCCGGAGTGACAGCACTGAGTTTCCGTGTAGAAGCCCCCAGGGAAGGGTGCAGAGTTCGCAGGGCCTGCTCTCCTGCATGGGGGCAGGAGGTGGGGGGCAGGAGGTGAGGGGCAGCAGGAGCCTCGAGGTGGCGAGCTGGTCCATGGTCCTTTACTGCAGGCTCAGTGGCCCAGGACCAGCCAGGAAACTTCCAGGGTCTCTGACAGAGGGGAAAACGACCAGGGCCCAAACACGACTAGGGCCTTATGCTAAGGACGGACATGTCTCTGGCTGAGGGGCCCCTTTGAGGGAGGAGTCATTGCTGACACCTGGTGATGAAGGTCACAATTGTTCAGTGTCTCCTTGTGGCAGTCGGGCCACAGTAGCCGCACAGACACAGGGCACTGAATCCACACGAGAGGCCTGTCATAGTGCTGAGTATAATAGCATCCCTAGTTCACAAACAAGACCACTGAGACTCAATTCAATAGCTTGTCCAGGCAAGGCTGAAGCCAGAATCCATGCTTGGGGACCAGATCGCCTCTCTGGGGGACACAGAAAGGACCCAGACCCTACCCTCGAAGGGTTCCCAGGCTGGTGGGGGCAGCAGATCTGTAAGCAAATGATTTCAACTCAGAAATATCAACATTCAGGAGAATTACGAAGAAAAAATGCTATAGAAGCAAAGAAGAGTGAGTGATGACCTGTGGAGGACAGGAGGTTGTTGGAAGAGGTATCATGGACAGTGCATAGGGGAAATTTGCACTGGGCTTTGCTGGTCATGCAGGAGTGTGCCCAACAGAGGAAAGGACGTTCCAGGCAGAAGTGGCCACAAAGGACACAAGGCCCAAAGGTGTGAAAGTGGTTGGAGGATTCAGGAAACAGGGCCAACCACAGGGATGGAAGGTCAATGGAAGGCGCTGCGGGAGGGAAGGGCTGGCCAAGGCTTCACGTTTAAGAAGGGCCTCAAATAGAGATTCCTCAATGGTCTCTCCAAATGAGGGCAGACATACAATCACTACGCCGTGTGTGTATGGATGTGGGTGTGTGTTAAAAACATTGGCTTGTTAAACGTGCACATTAAAGCTGTACCACAAATTCAGTTATTCTGCCCCCAACAAACTTGGAGCCTCAACAAAAAAAGAAGGACCCTCCTCATCTGTCAGAAATACATGCTGAAGTATTTTCAGATGAAAGGACATGGTGTCTTGGATTGGCTTTAAAATAATCCAGTGTGGGGTTTGGAGCGGGGATGGGTGGGGACGTGGAGGTGATGAGATTGGGCACGTCCTGGAACTGGGCAATGGGAATACGGAGGCGCCTCACATCACTGACTCTGCATTTGCTTACATTTGAACATTTCCATGACACATCTTTTTTTTTCTTTTTTTTTTTTTAAAGAGAGAGAGCCCCTTGTTCTGAGTCATCCCGTGGAGCTCAGGATATTCAGTATAGGGAGAGAGAAGGATGAATGATGGGGAAGCGGGGTGGGACCCAGGGCTGAAAGGTAGATTTGGAGCCAAATTGTAAAAAGCCTCGTAAACTATTCTGAGAAGTTTGGACTTAATCCTGCAAATAGTGGGAAGCCCAGTAAAGAATTTTTAGTAGGGGAATGACACCATTAGATTCTCATTTAAGAAAGAACTCTTCTCTGGCTGGTGCCTGGAAGATGGAAGGGGTGTGTGTGAGGGAGGCAGGGTTAGGGAGAGGAGGGGTTGGGGTCAGGGAGAGGACCCTGCCCGAGGCTTGAGGAGAGCTTGTCAGCTGCGAGTCTAGGTGGGCGACCTGCCTTCTCCTCTATGCTGTTTCTGGAGCAAGACCTCTTCTATCTGCCTTAGTAGTAGGCACTCTATTGTGATTACTTATCACAATAAGTAATTCCTTATTGCAATACATCAATAAGGATCACTTAGTGACTCTCTCTCTGGCTAGACTAGGTGTAGCCACATCACGCCTATCTCAGTCCCTTCTTATCCCCGGAGCCTGGCATGACGCCTGGTAATAAACCACTGTTAAGTGAATACGGAAATGTATAGCACAGGGCTCTCCCTAACCACTAAATCTTTGATGATCGAACGGACAGATCCAGCACAGTGCCTGACACAGAGTCGTAGAGTAGCCCCTCAATAAATGTTCGGGAGCCAAACTGAGCTCGTGTGAAATTGTAGGAAACTGATGCCTGAGTGGGGCGAGGAGGGTTCAGGTCTCCCCTTAGGAAAAAGCAATTTCCTCCCAGCACGAGAGCTTCCAAAAAGGCAGTGGTTTCCAAGCTGAAAGTGGATGGGAACAAACAAACCGGGCACAAGGTTTGTCTATGAATGTGTCAGCCCTCGAAACTTATGTCTCCACATCTCTCTTGGCTCCTTGATGAGGTGCTTCCTCCATTTCAGATGGATGGTGTTTCTTTCCCCCTTCTAAAAAAAGCTTCTAGATGCTTTTAAATTAGGCAAATGAGCAAGGGCAATGTTCATTTTCCCCCCTTTCATTCTGAAAATGTGTGGCGTGCCAGAAGGCCTTTGGACGGAATGTTCAGAGGCTGCATAATAGAACAAGAGAGGCTGCCAAGCTCCTAAATCACTAACCAGACAATCTCAGGCCCTGGGACTTAGAGACCCCTGGGACAACATCATGAGCTGAGTCCGCAACAAGTGAAAAGATGGCCCACAGCCCAAGGTCTCAGCAGGAAAGGAAGCCCCTACCTTGAACAGCTGAAAGTTCAAAGTGGGCCACAGCTCCTTAAGCTCAGCTCTCTAGGAGTTGCCTGGTGATGGAGGACCTTGGGCCCCCTTCTGTAAAACCTCAGGGAGTAGATCCAATGCCAACACTTTCTTTGTGAAGCTCAGTTTACCCACTGGTAAAATGGGTCTAAGCTGAAGGACTGCAAAATAATAGAGAGGACTCTAAATGCAGGTGTTTCTACCTGTGACCTCCTCTCTATAGAATCTGTGAGGTCCAGAGCCTTAATATTGAGCATTTGGTTGCAGGGCCAGCAGCATCAGCATCACCTGGGCTCTTGTTAGAAATGCAGACTCTCAGGCCCCACCCCAGACCGGCTGCTCAGATTCTGCATTTTCACAGCATGCTTAGGTGATTCATGAACACGTTGAGGTCCGACAGCACTGGCCTACCTAACCATATGATCGTGGCTAAGTCGCTTTACCACTGGATTTTAATTTATTCATTTGTAAAATAAAAGTGATTAATTTAAATGGCACATAGACCTGAAATCCTATAAAGTTCATAGCCTGCTAATAAATACCAGCCTTTGATCCCAAAATGTACATAGGAGTTCCACCCCTGTTCTGAAATACCAGGTTTTGAATTGGGTCAGATAATCAACAGTGGAGGTCACTGGGTCAGACTGTGCTAGAGTGATGTGGAGGAATAAATGTGAACATTCATTCTGGAGGGTCTAGGACAAACCCATTTGAAATACTGTGTTACACTATGAGCCCTTAAATCTCAAATTTTGGTTTGGAAAATAGAGGCTCCCATAGCATCAGACACAGTCCCAACTCATGTTAGGTTGATTGCACTGATAGTATCAATTACTGACTTTCCTGTGTCCATGACCTTTACAACATGACTATGCAGTTCCTTCCACCAAGAGAAGGCATCTGTTTTCCCACCCTTTGAATCTGGGCTGGCCTTGAGACTTTCTTTGGCCAAGGCAGTGCAGCAGAAGTGTCCCAGTTCTGCCTAGGTCCCCAGAGACATTGCATGTTTCAGCTCTCTCTGGGACCCCGTAATCATTTTGTGAACTAGCCTGGGTTAGTTGGCTAGAAGATGAGAGAATACGTGGAAGAGTGCCTACTCATCTCAGATGAGAACAGCCAGGACTGGCTTACAGCCAGCTGACCTCCAAACACAGGAGAGAACCCAGCCAAGATCAGAGCTACCGACATGACCACAACTGACCACCAATGGATGAATAAGACCAGCTGAGACTAGAAGTGCCACTTAGCTGACTCATAGATTTGTGAGCAATAATACATTCTTATTATTTTAAGCCATTGAGTTTTTGGGTGGTTTGTTACACACCAATAGCTAACCGATACATAAACCTTAAAGATCTTAAATCTGGTTGGAAAAAATTTCAAACTTCTAAGATTGCCTCTAGCTTGAAAATGCCATGGTTCTTTACAAAAGAAAGGTTTAGAATATGGTGTCAAAAGTGAATGCCTTCAGGGGCTTTGAGTGAAGAGAGCCAGTGTACTCCAAAAACTTTTTTTTTAATACATATATGAATCACGAAAGGCATATTTCTCTACTTCCACAGGGAAATCTTGTGGCTTCCATTTTCCTTGAATCCTCTCAGTTTGCCTTTTGTTTCTTCACTTTTGGTATAGACAAGGTAAATAAGACATATTTTCTTTTCTCCTAACGATAAGGCCAACCAACCAGCAGCCTCAGTATGGGGGAACAACCTGGAGTGGTGGGGACTGGGGCAAAATAAGGAGCATATACCTGGTTTCAGTGGGTCAATGGTTGTCTTAAAAGAAAGAGGGCCCCAAATTGCCAGATCTTCTCAATTTTCAAGAGAACCCGGAAGCCTGCATTTTTGGATATGAACTTACCTAATTTTCAAACTTGAGTTCAAATTGTTTTAAGAAGCTTCACAACCCAAATCACTCTTTTTTTTTTTTAAACGGAATCTCACTCTGTTGCCCAGGATGGAGTGCAATGGCACTATCTCGGCTCACTGCAACCTCCGCCTCCCGGGTTCAAGGGATTCTTCTGCCTCAGCCTCCCGAGTAGCTGGGACTACAGGCACGCGCCACCAAGTCCAGCTAAGTTTTGTATTTTTAGTAGAGACAGGGTTTCACCATATTGGCCAGGCTGGTCTCGAACTCCTGACCTCATGATCCACCCACCTCGGTCTCCCAAAGTGTTGGGATTACAGGTGTGAGCCACCGCACCTGACCAACAAAACACTTTTGATGGCTGAAGTTGGTCAACAGCTAGAGACTCCTGGTGTGGACTGCTAATGCAGAAGGGTTCTGGAGCAAGAGCACATGACCATGTAAGACATTTACACCAGATCCCTCCATGCTCCCTTGGGCTCACCAGGAGAGCAGCTCCAGTCAGGGAAGTCTCCCTTTGCTGGGCCACTTGTGTTAAATGATGGTACTGCAGCTTTAGGAGGGTCAGGCAGGCTAGAACCACGCTGAGGGCCAGGTAAAGCTGGTCCTGGTAACTTTTGCCTTTTTTTTTTTTTTTTCCATTTTAGGGGCCTCGCTGACCTGTGACTTCATGATCTCATCACCCCAGTGACTTCAGGAATGAACCAGGAACGTATGCTCCAATTTTACCCCTTATTAGGCATTTTAGAGGGGATAATGATTCACTGAAAGACTGGGGCTCTAAAAGAAAAACCATCTCAGATGGAGGGTGGGCAGGACAGCTTGGATTTTGTGACTGCTGTTTACATGTGCTGTGTGGGTGCTGGTCTGCACAGGAGCCCTGGGCTTGGGGGTGAGAAAAGGCAGATCTTGCCAAGCAATGCACCTGGTGCTGGGAACTGCTTCTCGGCCTGAAGCGAGTGCTGCCTTTCCCAAATTTCCCTTACAGGGGGTGCCTTTTACCTACCTCACCCAAGGTCTCCCTATGTGCTAATCTCTATTTCAGAGAGAGGGAGAAAGACATTATGGAATCTCCTCTGTTAAGCGCTGCCTGCAGCATTTCGAAGTTAGGTAATATGGCCATTTCACAGAGGGGAAAACTGAGGCTCAGAGAAATTAAGAGACTCACTCACGTTCACCCAGCTAAGAAGTGGAAGAGCAGGCCTCCTGACTCAGATCTATGTGTCCATCCCAATGCCCAGGTGAGCCTTGCTGGGTCCCCAGAGGTGGGGCTGAGGATGGTGACAGATAGGTATAACTCCTGATATAACTCTTCTGCTTGACCTGGGCACCTCATTTCCTCCCCTACAGGAAGGGTGGAGTGAGCTCTGTAAGTACAGGCTAGGGGTGGGGAATCTGAACCCCACAAAAGGCCCTGTTTGCTTACAGTCCGCACAGCTGGGCTGGATTAGTCCAGCTTCGTAAATAGCTTTCGAAAACCAGCCGACTGGAAAAGTCCACTTTGTCCTGGAGAATGCACAAAGGCCCCACCCACATTCATCACTGTCCGCTGCCCTGTCTCCCCAACCCTGACCTCTCTATCTTGTGGCCCATCTCCACCTCCTCCTCTGGGCCTCAGTTGAAAAGAAAATTCTCAAATCCCCGTTCCCACCTCTATCAAACTCTTGAAAGACAGAACTGGAAGGAGAGGCAAGGAAAAGGAAATTCCTTTGAGGTCGAGCTGCCTGGATTTCCTTCTGCATCCTGCCTCATTTCCATGGAGCCTACCTTTATTGATTTGGGACCTGGGTCTTGAGGAAACTGGGGGCTGAATTTGGGGCCATTAGTGAAGCCCAGGGCTGCTTCCTTCCTGAGGGGCAGCTGAGGGGGAGGCCCAGCGCTGGCCTCAGAGGAGAGCAGCTGGAATGTGTTTTCTCACAGCCACACTTCGGTTAACATTCCAGAAAGTCAGAGCTGGGAGGGGCTTCCAGATTAGCAAGTCCAAAAGACTCTGACCCTGGGTTCCCTTGTTGAGCTGCAAAGGGGCTGTGGATCTCCAGAAATCGGATGCAAAAAAAAAAAAAAAAAAAAGTTTCTCTGTACTAGTGAGGAATTGGATTTTTGCAGGGAGAGGCTTCAAGCTTCGTTTTCTTAAAGGGGGCTGAGACACTCTTCCTACAAGTTAAGGACACAGGATGTTTCTAGTTTAGCTTGTGTTTTATGTAGAAGGGGAAACTGAAGCCCAGGGAGGGGACATGACATGCTCAGGGACAGAGATGTGACTGAGCTCATTTGAGAGCACAGCAGAAGTGTAGTTTAGGGGAGGGAGGGGCGAGGGAGACTTGTTCCTCCTGAACACATTTTCCGAAAGTGGGGCCTTTTCAACAGTGTCTACCACAACAGATTAGCCAAACAGCTATTTAAAAAAGGGATCAGACTTTAATGGAAGGAGCATGAAAGTGAGATTGTGAACCCCAGGGAGAGAAAGTTGTCACAGATTGTCAAAGGATAGTTTTTGCTTTTTTTTTTGTCATAGTTTTTTTTTCAATGGAGACAAGATCTCACTCTGTTGTTCAGGCTGGACAGCTGGGGCATGATCATTACTCACTTCAGTCTTAAACTCCTGGGCTCAAGTGATCCTCCTGCCTTGGTCTCCGTAGTAGGCCAAGGGACTACAGATGCATGCCATCACAGCTGGCTACTATTTTATGTTTTATTTTTTGTAGTGATGGGGTCTCATTATGTTGCTCAGGCTGGCCTTGAACCCCTGAGCTCAAGTGATCCTCCCATCTCGGCCTCCCAAAGCACTGGGATTACAGGTATGAGCCACTATGCCTGGCCAAGTTTTTGAAAATATGTATTGTGCACTTCCAGCAATCAATGGCGGTCTTCCCATAACCCCAACCTGCCTGCCCTGCCTGGCCTGCAGGCCTAGCTGGCAAACCTGGATATGCTCCTGGATCCCTGGAATCCAGACGTGCCACTTCCCACTCCATTCCTCTCCTTGCCATTCATTCAGCCAATATTTATTGATTTCTTTAACTCTGTATGAGATGTTGTGGATACAGTGGTGAACAAAACTCCATCTTCATAGGACTTATTCAAATTGAGGAAACTGATGGCATTTTTCTAATAATAAGAGGGGACTTGGGTCCAGGGTGGGGTGGCTGAACTCTGTCGGAAAAACGCTTCTCTGTGAGTGCCGAGGTGTCCCCTCCCACCATAAAAGAGGGTTCTGACGGGAATCGAGGACACCAATGCCCATTTGTTTCAGATTCGACATTCTCCATCTTGACAGGGTCCCCAAGGTTCTCCTGAGTCCAAGGACACCGCTGCCTCCCAGCTCATAACAAACGATGCTCACAAGCATGCCAGCCCTCTCCTTCTATGAGGCAATCCTCGGAGGCCCTTGCCAAGATCAACTGTTTGGACTTCTGCCTTGAAAACTGATCCTCTTCCGAGTCCGGTTATTGCTTTTCTGAAACATGGGGACAGTGACATCATCGCTCCCTCCCTGGCTTGGGGATTTGGTGGTCAGCATGAAGTCAGGGTTTGGAACGGTGCCTGTTCTCTGCCAATGCCCAGGGAGGCCTGGGTTGGGGGCTCTGGAGTGAATTGGGCTTGCTGGGGAAGTCCCCAGAGGCTGGGTGGGGGGTCACTTTCAAACCTGTTGCCAGCATCTGGGTCTGCCTTGCAGTCCCCAGGATGAGCAGCATTCTGAGGAGGGCTGAACTGATGGTCGGTGGATACACACCTGCCCGGTCATACCCATTGTCAGGCTATTGAAATACTTTCATCTCATTGGTAGTCATTTACCGGGAAGACTTCCTGCCACCTTAGCTGTACTGGCTTCTCCCCTGGGCCACCTCTCCATAACTCCTACCATCTAACACCTGTAGGGACCTGTCCAACAGTACTCTGATTGTTGGTGCCCTGCACCACACCCATGGATAAAGATTTCGGCGATGACTCCAGGATCGGAGTGGAGCTGTGAGAACTTGGGCTGGGCCTTTGGTCGCTGGGCACCTGCTGGAAGGCACTGCCATGTGGAAAGAGGCAAGGTCCACATCTAAAGTTCCCAGGTCTGGGCCCTGCCAACAGGAATTCTCTCCTGCCACGGTGGGACCCATTCCTTGCACAGTCACCGGTTAGCATTTCCTTGCCAGAGGCTGAAAGGCATCTCAGGGGTATTCTAGTCCTGCCCGCTAATTGTACAAGGAGACTCTGCAGCTCAGAAAGAGGATGTCACTTGCTCAAGTCAAATAAGCTGGTGACTGACCTAAGCCTTCTGCCTACCCTCTAGGTCATGATTCTCAAGGCACACAAAGATCCTGGCTTCAGAGACCATGAAGACATTCTAAACCTTCTCCTATCACTTGCCCGCTGCCTTTCTATGCCCAGGGTTGGTTTATTGGCATACCCAGCACTTTCTCTAGTTGGGTGGATTTTAGAATTAGCTTCAGCAGGGAGCCCGTCACAGTCATGTCACTCCATAACCTGGCATGCACCTAGGTAGGAACCTCAGTCTGGCAGCCCACAGGCTGAATGTGGACGGATTTCACTGGGACCACCCAGTGTTGTTGATTTTTCTTTCTAATGGAATAGATTGCCCACACTTAGAAAGTGAGGGATTTCATACAAAACTGTGGATATGGGGCTTTTTGGAACAATGGTTAGATCCAGCCATCCATGTGCCACGTTTCTGCAGGCAAGACCAGCTCCCTATAAATGGGACAGATGCTCTAGTTTGTCACCAACCACCCCTTTCTCCCAGCTGGCTTTGGTCCTTTGCTGGCCTGAAGGCACCCAAGTTTGCCATCCCCAGCCCAGAGTTATCTCAGTACATGACACGGCCTTGCTTTTTGTTTCTTGGAAAAGTTGTGGTCCAGACGGAATAAATAGACCACTTTAGCATCCTTCTTCTTTCTTCACACATTCAGGCCATTTTGGATAAGGGAGATGTTTGGGGTCTCAGGCTTATCACAGGGACAGTCATTGGTTGACCACCTGGCTGTGACTTCCAAGACTCCTTCCTTCTGCTCTTCCCACCTCTTCCCCTGACAGTGCCATGATCTCCAACCAGGCTACCCAACTCCTGACATTCCATGGCTGAGCTTTGGACTGAGTTGTGCAGATGCTTACTGAGCACCTGCAATGTTGACGCCATGTGAGGATTCAAGCAAGAGCAAGACACATTTTTGGATGCTTAGTCTTAAGGATCTAAGTCTTCTTGTGCACAACAGATAAAGATATCGATAACCGTAAGTCAAGGCCAAATATTCTGCATCACAGGAAAGGTTTCAAATCAGACAGAGCTCACGTCTACTGGGTGGGGAAGGAGGAATCAGGAAAGGCTTAAGGAAGGAGGAATCAGGAAAAGCTTAAGGAAGGAGGAGGTGTTTGAGATGGACCTTGAAATGACCGTGAAAGGAAATGGTTGGGGGTAGAGGGAGGAAAGGGTGTTCCCAGTAGGCAGAGGGAATGGCTTGAGAAGAGGCTGGGCTTGGGAGGAGACTGTGCTGAGGGTGCCTCTTGTGCAACACAGCTTGGCCAGCACTCACAGGCAGGACACACCACACATCTTTCCTGCCACCCTCCTCTGCACCCAGGGACACACACGCATCTCTCTGGGCAGGGGCACACTCAGAAGCTGAGACTTCTGTACACCTCCCAAACCTGACAACAATGTGTGCTGAGATGTTAGGGATGATGTGGGACCTAAGGTGGCAAAGATGGGCTGCGGTCATTTCTGGGAGGGCTCTGATCGTCCTGGTAGAAAGTGGGGTTAGAGTAAGGCAGGGAACCTGTTCAAGTGTAGACAAAGAGAGAAGAGTTCATTAGGAATTTACAGCTTTGAGTAAACAAGGACCGAGAGTAGGTTTTTCAGAGGGGAGGAAGGAAGGCGGGAAAGGAATGAGCACTTGGGCAGAGCTGAGAAAGATGGGGACTCTGTTGACCTGCCCCAACCGGGGAATGGTGGAGCAGGGAGAAGTGTGGGAGCACAGACTCATGAACTTGCCACAAAAGAATCACAGAATTTCTGATGTGGAAGAGGCTTTGGTGCTACCCAGTTTAACCCCCTTATGTTATGGAGGACACTGGGTGCCCCGAGTGTGGAGGTGCGGGCACCAATCCTAGGGTGACAAAGCTGTCGTTTTATCTTCCACAGCGTCTATCATGTAGTAGGTATTTGGTGAATGTGTGTTGAAACGATGAAAATGTTGACTTCTACCTAGAACTGACCTCGTAAAATGGAAAATGAGGTCCCTGGACACCTGGTTGGTTGGCAATAATTTCCATGTAAAGGTGTTGTCTCCCTGCACCCCCAGCTTTGGAGGAAGCCCCCAGATGATGCTCTTATGCCCCCACACAGAGTCTCAGTTCCCATGGAGGGCCTGCCACTGGCTGGGGCGTCGAGGGGTAGCGAGCTGTGCGGTTCCTCCTTCCCTCCCACCCACCCTCCCGGGGTCGTTGTGTAAGTGGGGGGTGGCAGTGCGGCGGGCGGGTAACTTCCTGCAACAGCGGCAGGGCTGGGCATCCGAGCTGGCACGGTTCAAGTGCACCACAGCATTCTGAACATTTGGGAACACAGGAAGGGCTGCGTTTTTTAAGCTCCCTTTGTTTTCAAGGAGGGGCCAGAGTCCATGGGGAGGAAAGAAACAAAACCAGGAAAACAGATGACTTGCTTTGCAAAGATAGTGTGTACGTATGCTGCAGCTTCTGTGAGCCCTAATGCTCTGCTGTCCCTCTACACTTATGCACACCTACACACCCTGACGCACACTCACGGCAGGTCACACCACACATCTGTACTTCCATCTTTCTCTGGCACCCAGGGATGCAGACACACATCTACCTGGGCAGGGACACACCCAGAAGCTGAGACTTTGATACACAGAGACACCTCCCAAACCTAACCACAGAGGGACATCCACACACATGGATGGGCAAGTGCAATCATACACACATGTAGGAGTATGAAGCTTTCATGCATAGACATCCAGACACCCAGACACACACAGAGACATGCTCGGAAACTCCAAGACCCCCATACTTATAGAAAGATCCAGACTGAACACACACACACACATATGCAGGCTTGTGTACACACCCATCCCTCCTTGAAGAAGCTCCACCTGTACAAACACAGAGGAGCATTTTTTTTGTTTGTTTTTGTTTTTGTTTTTGTTTTGAGACAGAGTCTCACTCTGTCGCCCAGGCTGGAGTGCAGTGGCACCATCTCGGCTCACTGCAAGCTCCGCCTCCCGGGTTCAAGTGATTCTCCGGCCTCAGCCTCCCGAGTAGCTGGGACTACAGGCACATGCCACCACGCCCAGCTAATTTTTTGTATTTTTAGTAGAGACGGGGTTTCACCGTGTTAGCTAGGATGGTCTCGATCTCCTGACCTCGTGATCCGCCCGCCAAATCCCAAAGTGTGGGGATTACAGGTGTGAGCCACCGCACCCGGCCAGAGGAATGTTTTTACCAGGGGTCCAGGGAGCCTGCACACCCTCAGCCCTGCTCTCGGCTACCAGAAGAGTGTGGGCAGGCAAGATACAGTTCCAAAAGGCTCCACAGAGAGGGGCCAATGAGTCCTTTTGCTTTTCCCCTTGCTCTTGATGTTAGTGTTTCTAGAAGCTTCCATGTAGTGCCCTCATTTAATTTACAAGTTTGAATTCTTCTTTCACAAGGTATATTGAAGACCATTACTGGAAGTGAGGGGAGATGAGGAGGAAGAGGCCCTGGAAGGACATCTGGGACTGGTGGGAACAGCAGCTGGATTACCTGCTCCTGCCTGGGGATTTCTCTACATTCCCAAGCTGGTGCTGACAAAGTGCAGCCCCAAAGAGGCTGGGCCAGAGAGATTGGAAGAAGAGCTCTCAGGGGACTCCCACAATTCCTCTGACAATAAAATGAGACAGAGAGGTTAAAAGTCATTTAAATTTGGCCGGGCGTGGTGGCTCATGCCTATAATCCCAGC
The DNA here is from genome assembly GCF_000001405.40 of Homo sapiens. Lineage (NCBI taxonomy): Eukaryota > Metazoa > Chordata > Mammalia > Primates > Hominidae > Homo > Homo sapiens. The sequence continues at coordinate 32,628,636 of NC_000022.11, forward strand.
TACTCCGGAGGCTGAGGCAGGAGAACTGCTTGAACCTAGGAGGCAGAGGTTGCAGTGAGCTGAGATCATGCCATCGCACTCCAGCCTGGGGCACAAGAGCGAGACTTCGTCTAAAAAAAAAAAAAACCTCACTCAAATCTTTAGTTACAAGCTGGAAGATGCCGGGCTGTTCCCCCTGTAAGCTGTGCTGGCCGCTGGTCATGCTTCCTGTGGTGTGCTTTCAATTTCCCTCGTTGTAACTGAAAAGTGGGGGCCTTTTCTCTGAAGGAAGAGGCTGTGGTCTCCCAGGTGCCCTGTTGGGCTCTTTAGGGAGGGACTTAGACCCAGGAGGGCTCCTAGACCTGGGCAGGTAGAATTGCTCCGCCTGATAGAAAGAGAACCTGGAGCTCTCCAGGCAAGCTGGGCAGGTTTATGAGCTCGGAGCCTGAGAGGTGAAAGGTGAAGCTCCTCCCCTTCTGCTCTGACCCTGTCGTGTGTGCTCCCCAAATATTTGGTGAAATCCATCCCACTCAGAAATCGCTTTGGATTTGAGCGTGGGATCTGGGTCAGTGATAGCAACAGAGCAGCCCTCGAGGTAGGAACAGAGGCTTCCCCATCCTCTAGGAATTTGCATAAATATACTAGGAGATTGTGAAATGAATGAAAGTCCAAGAAAATCACATCTAGATCTGTGAGGCAAGGAGAGAGGCCCAGATGCCATCTGGGTAACATATGGGAAAGTGTTTGCAAACTTTAACCACTACGTAATGCAAAGAATCATTTGCTATCCTTGTTATATACAAAAATCTTCATCAAAATGTTTGCATTGAGCAGTTGAACCTAATGATGAAAGAGGCTTGCAAGAGCAGGCTGGCCGGGTCAGCCCTGGGACAGCCAGCCCAGGCTTTCTCAGGCAGGCGGCACGGTGTGGACGAGAGGTTGGTGGGCAGGGATTGGCTTCCTGGGTCCAAACACCTCCTTTTTCTCTTACTATCTTTCTTGTCTTTCACAGGTTTATTTAAACGCTTTATAAACTTTTTTCTTTGTATTTTGCCAGAGCCATCCCCTGGGAGCCTCTTTGCAATCTTCCTTCTCGTCCAGCTCCCAGTATAAGTCACCTCCTTCAAAGCTCTTTGAATCCTGATGGTGCCCTTGACTGGGAGAGGCCACATAGTGGGGTGGTTAAGAGCATGTACCCTGGAGGGGAACAGAGCTGGATGATCAGGGCCAGGACTAGGGTAAGGAGGGTGAGACCTGAAAATTAAATAAAAATGAAAATGAAATGAGATGAAAATTAAATAAAAATCTGAGAAGGTGCCTGCAAACTCATAAATCAAAATAAATATTTTAATGTTATTTTATATAGGTATGTATTTTTTTTTTTTTTTGAGACGGAGTCTCGCTCTGTTGCCAGGCTAGAGTACGGTGGCGCGATCTCGGCTCACTGCAACCTCGGCCTCCTGGGTTCAAGCAATTCTCCTGCCTCAGCCTCCCAAGTAGCTGGGACTACCGGCGCCCACCACCATGCCCAGCTAATTTTTGTATTTTTAGTAGAGACGGGGTTTCACCATGTTGGCCAAGATGATCTCCATCTCTTGACCTCATGATCTGCCCCCCTCGGCCTCCCAGAGTGCTGGGATTACAGGCCTAAGCCACCACACCCGGCCGTATGTATGTATTTTTAGAGATGGGGTCTTGCCATGTTACCCAGGTTGGGTTAAAGTGATCCTCCTGCCTCAGCCTTCCAAATAGCTGAGGCTACACGTATGTCCCACTGTTCCTGGCCTTATTATTGTGATATTTAAGTAAATGAATATCAATGTAAATAAATTCATGATGAGCAAAATACTAATATTTTAATGAAGATAGGATCCAACCCTACATTTGCATAACCCTGTCTCACTTGCCTGCCCTGATCTGGTCCTTTCTGAATTTGTATCTCGGCTCTGCCTCTTATTAGCTGGGGCACACTTTTAAAAAACTGATGTGCACGTTACAAACAGTAAAATGAATACTTTTAAAGAGTACAGATCAATAAATGTTTATATACGTGCACAGCTATGTGACCAACACTTAATCAAGACATAGGCCATTTCCATCTCTGCGGCAAGTTTCCCCTTAGGACTTCCTCTTGCTTAAAATGCTTCAGTGGGTGTTCACTGCTGTCAAGATAAACATCAAATCCTTTTGTCCTGGCCCCTTCACAGGCTACAGGTGTGTTCCCTACTGTTCTATGAGAAGCCAAATACAGGTGTTTGACCTGAAAACACCAGTATATCTAGCACATCCCACTGCTGAGCCTCTCAAAGCTGACCTTGGCTCTGAATTTAACAGCAACTCGGATTCCAACCCTAATGCTAACCTCAGCCAGAGGGATGTTTAAAAATACCTGCAGAGGGCCGGGTGTGGTGGCTCACGCCTGTAATCCCAGCAATTTGGGAGGCCGAGGCGGGCGGATCACCTGAGGTCAGGAGTTCCGAGACCAGCTTGGACAACATGGAGAAACCCTGTCTCTACTAAAAATACAAAAATTAACTGGGCGTGGTGGCATGCGCCTGTAATCCCAGCTACTCGGGAGGCTGAGGCAGAAGAATTGCTTGAACCTGGGAGGCAGAGGTTGCAGTGAGCCAAGATCATGCCACTGCACTCCAGCCTGGGTGACAAGAGCGAAACTCCATCTCAAAACGAAACAAGCAAAAAAAAAAAAAAAACCCAGAAAAACCTGCAGAGGCCAGATGATGTTTGAGATGTTGGGTTTTTGTGCGTATTTTCAAACGCTTGTCTCTTTAGGCTCTTAAATCATTGAGCACATCCTCTGTATGGCTCTGCTTAAGGCTGAAGTCTGCAAATCCTAAAGTTCCTTCAGGGACAAGAAGGAAAGAAAAATAAATTCACCTGGAGTCAAGTAATTTCACAGATCTTTAAAGCAGGAAGGACCTTAGGAAACCACCTGATACAACTCTGGGCTTTTGAAAATGAGCAACCTTAGAATTGCTGTGTCTTTCCTAAGGTTGCAGTAGTATAATAATTACACCTTTTATTGAGAAACTACTATGTGCCAGGCATCAAAGTGCTTTACATTCAATATCTCATTTAATCCTCCCACCATCCTATGAGGTAGGTACTGTTAAGATTTTCCGCTTTACAGATGAAGACATTGAGGTCCAGAGAGGGTGAGTAACTTGCCCAAAGTAATACAGCAACAAGCGGTGATGTATTATTTGAACCCAGCATGATCAGACTCCAGCACCTCCACTCTAAAGCCTGCATTGCCCAAGCCAGAGCCCTTTTATGTCACCAAAGGCAGGGAACAAATAGTCTATGAGGTGAGGAATTTGCCTTTGGCTCTTAGATTGACTTCCTATAAAAACAAGACAGAGAGTGAAGAGCCAGGATCTGTGGGTTTACTAGGCGCCGGAGGGATGCTGAAGGGGAAGATAGTGGCTGCCCTAGACAGATAAAGGTCTTGTGGCAATTCCTGGACTGGGGGCCTCATTGCTCAATGCAGGGGTATTGGCAGTATGTGAGTGGGCCTGCGCCCATATCACCAGGCAGGGTGTGGAGCCCTGGGTGTTCCAGCATACACTGCCAGGAGGGGTTGGTGAATCTCCCAGGACATTGCAGGCAGCAGCTTAATGTTAGGAAAAGAGACTTGAACTGGCAACCTGGACCTGGGCTTCTGCTGTCCACTGGGCAGTGTGCTATGGCGGTGAGAGCTCTTGCCTGGGCGTTTAGAATCCCAGCTCTGATATTTACTTGTATGGGATCTTGGGCAAATTACTTCCTCTTCAGGGTCTCAGTGGCTGATCCACAAACAAGACATGTTTGTGAGTGGTGCAGTGTTTGATAAATCCTAAACTAATGGGAAGTAGCCCTTGACCTTGGCCGAGACACCTTCCCTTTGGGGCCTTCGATCTTTCATCTGTGAACTAATGGGAGATGGGCCAGAGAATCTCCAAAGTTCCTTCCTGCCCTAAGGTTTGATGACTGAGAATCTGCAGCTTGGTGCTTAAAGGTTTGGGGCAGGAAGCTAGGGGCAGAGCAAAGGCCCTGTAGGCATTCAACAGCTGTTTGGCAATCATCCTCCTTAGCCTTTCCCTTCCTATTTACTTCTCAGCCTGGCTCAAGGTTTGATTGTATTACTGGTAGAAGAATTAACCCCAAACCCAGGGAAATCGCCACTTCACTGTGTTTTCTTACTGTCATTTTCTATTAACGTGACGCATACAGGGTTTGCAAGACCCGGGGACCGCCGTGGATGTCTTTGGCTTCTAATTCCATTAGTTCATCGGGTAGTTATGGATAATAACACAAAGCCTGTCATTTGGCCAGCACTTGAGAATTTATATAGTGGTCAAGCGTGTTCATTCCGAAGCCACAACCCATGGGTTCTCACCCGGCTCCTTCACATACAGGCTCATGACGTTAGGCAAATTACTTCTCCACTCTGAACCTTGGTTTCCTCATTTACCAAATGGGAGGAATAACCGCACATTGCCTCATAGGGCTGCTGTAAAGATGAAGGGATTTGACGTCATGTACGGCACTTAGCACCAGACTCATAGTCATAACTAAATCATCAGTTATTATTTTTACGAAATACTTCATATTCATTTTCTGACTTGTCACACCCATCACCTCCATCAGACTGCTTTGATTTTATTATCCTGATTTTTGAGCGGAGCAAACAGACTCCGAGGAACAGTGACTTGTCCCGGGTCACACAGTTAAGTGGCAGAGCCCCTGGGGTTCTAACCTGGGGTTCCTGAAACCTAGGATAGGCCATGTTCCACTGTCTCCCCCTGCCCTTCCCCCAGGACCAAATTTCTCTGTGGAATAATAAGGTAATATTGGATGAAGTACCCCCAAAACAAGGTTGGTCCTACGTGCGTAGGCATTAAGAAAAGAGGGGAATCCTAGTTGTTGGGAAGGCCTTTGGGCCTCAGGTGGTACGCCGAGGACAGCAGATTTTGACCTCCGAGGCAGAGGGAGCAAGGAAAGGAAAAATAATCTTTTTTTAAATTTTGAGACAGAGTCTTGCTTTGTCACCTAGGCTGGAGTGCAGTGATGTGATCACAGCTCCCTGCAGCCTCGACCTCCCAGGTCCAAGCAAGCCTCCTACCTCAGCCTCCCAAAGTAGCTGGGACCACAGGTGCGTTTTTCTCAATCTCATTTTTTTTTTCTTTTTTTTGTAGAGAAGGATTTTTGCCATGTTGCCCAGGCTGGTCTTGAACTCCTGGGCTCAAGCAATCCATCTACCTCGGCCTCCCAAAGTGCTAGGATTACAGGTGTGAGCCACCCAACCTGGCACAAAAAAAGGCATCCTAGGAGGGAGCTGGCACCGGCAAAGACTTGGTTTTAGAAATGGACAGCCTACTTAGAGGACCATCAAGGGACTGCCACTGGGACAGAGGGCTCTTGGAGGGAAGTTGTAAGAGATAAAAATGGAAGCAATACTTGCTAACATTTACTGAATGCTTACAAGGTACTGCTCTGATCACTTTATATGTATACGTAATAACTTACTAAAGTCTCATAACTGTTTTTCCAGGTAGGAACCAATATTATCCCTGTTGTATAGATAAGGAAACTGGAGGCACAGAGAGGTTTAAGTAACTCATCTGTGGCTACAAAGCTGATAAACAGCCGAGCCACTATTCAAACTCAGCAGGCAGTCTGGCACCAGAATCTATGTTCCGAACCACTAGACGATAGCATCTGACTCAATAGAAGCATGATCACCCAAATCAGTTCAGGATTCTTGGCATCTTCTGCTACTTGCTGTGGCACTGAATTCAAATATATGTTCCTGTATTCACAGAGGCAACGTAGAGATAGTGCATATGGGAATGAGGGGTTGACGGCATCCGTGAAAAGGATTCTCAGTTAAGATCTAAAATGCATATCTGACCAGGGCACTCTAACTCAAAATCACTAGACAGCTCGGCACCACCTCCAGAAATACAAGTGTCTGTGGTTCCCTCCCTGCGAGGGGTTTCATGGCTTCCTTGTTTTTTGTTCACGCTGTTCCCCTTTTGTCCTCTTCCTCATCTAACTATTACTTCTCTTTCAGGACTGCCCTCCAGCATCACCTCTGCCCCAGGAATCCCTTCTTGGTTTCCCCAGGCTGGCTTCCAGGCCCTTTCAGTGCTCCGGAATCCCTTGGCCACCTCTGCCTTCCCACCCTGGGCAGAAATTATGTCTACTGCAAGCTTGTCCAACTTGTGGCCCGCCGGCCATGTGTGGCCCAGGACAGCTTTGAATGTGGCCCAACACAAATCTGTAAACTGTCTTAAAACATTATGAGATTTTTTTTGCAACTTTTTTTTTTTTAGCTCATCAGCTATCATTAGTGTTAGTTTATTTTATGTGTGGCCCTAGACAATTCTTCTTCTTCTAATGTAGCCCAGGGAAGCCAAAAGATTAGACACCCCGGTCTACTGGGAGAACCCTCATGATGTTCTCAACTCTGTGCTTGTTGTATATCGGTCTACATCTCCCATCCAAATACTAACCAGGCCCGACCCTGCTTAGTTTCCAAGATCAGACAAGAGCGGTGTGTTAAGGGTGGTATGTCTGTAGGCTAATCTTTCTATCTATCTGTCTGTCTATCTATCTGTCTGTCTGTCTATCCATCCATCCATCTATCTAGTCTATCAGTCATCTATCTTCTATTTTCTATATGTATCTATCTTCTCTCTTCTTTATTTTCCATCTTCAGAATCTGGGGCTGTATTCGGCCTGTATTTGGGAAGCTCAGTAGATGTTGGTTGAACTAGGTGGATGAGCATTCCCAGTGACTATGATACAGGGAAATATTTACTCACAGCTGATGCTGAGTTAACCCACTACCTTCACTTATTTCAACCCAAATCAGAACATATCTGCAAACATTGGGGCCAGATATTTGAAATAGGGACATTCTAGGATATTAGAGCAAATATTTCACAGATGCTTTCAAGGTCCCTGGTGCAATGCTGGGTTTCTGTGGATGGTGAATTTCCTGGCATCTGGCTTAGTACTCGTTGTAGTGCAGGTGCTCAGCCGGTATGTGCTGGATGAATGACAGAGCCATGTTATACAGAAAACGCAGTTTGACGGTTGCTCTCTGGGACTCTGTTCTCCAAATCAGATGGAGGAGACAACTAAGTAGACTCCCAAATAAGCCATGCAAATTTCCCGAATCTCCCAAACTAAACCCAAACGTTATTTTTGTTTTAACTGAGTTAACTTTTTTCTTTAAAAAGACTTAAGAAAGAATGATAAAAGAAAGAGAAAAAATCCTCCTGATCCCTCCTTTGCTTGAAATCATTAGGCAGCTGCTCATTGGAACAAAACAAGATTTTTTGAACTTGAAACTCTACATACGTATTTTTTCCCTTAAGGTATCGATGTAGAAGGAATCTGACATTTTTGAATGTTGTCCCCAAAGAAATGAACCATATTTGTCATTCTGAGGAGCCTGCTAAGAACCCTGACAAGGACTGTTAGAAAATCAGAACCACGGCCGGGCGTGGTGGCTCATGCCTGTAATCCCAGCACTTTGGGAGGCCAAGGCAGGCGGATCACAAGGTCAGGAGATTGAGACCATCCTGGCTAACACAGTGAAACCCCGTCTCTACTAACAACACAAAAAAATCAGCCGGGCGTGGTGGCCAGTGCCTGTAGTCCCAGCTACTCTGGAAGCCGAGGCAGGAGAATGGCGTGAACCCGGGAGGCGGAGCTTGCAGTGAGCCGAGATTGTGCCACTGCACTCCAGCCGGGACGACAAAGCGAGACTCCATCTCAAAAAAAAAAAAAAAAAGAAAAGAAAAGAAAATCAAAACCATTTTGCTGGAACTGCTGTTCCCACCTTCACCAGTCATTGGTAAAAGAGAAGATCCACCTTAAAAGTGGCTGTCCCCATGACGGGCCATTGCTAGATGGACTTGACACCTTGACCTCTCGCCATCTGCAATCAGTGAGGCTCAGTAATGGTGACCTTGATCCTGGGGGGATAATCATGGCTGAACACTCAGTATAGTTGGAACTGGGCAGAAAACTTGGCCTAGGATCTAGACACTCTGAATTATTTCATTTTTCTTTGCCTTGGATATCTGAGAGCCCCAGAAAGAGAAACAGGCTCTCTAAAGCAGTGTCAGGAGATTTGGACACAGGCTCAGTCCTGACATTCATTTGCTATATGATCCTGCAATAGTCGCTCAACTCTTCTGGGTTTCAGCTCCTCTATCTATAAAATGAGATGGTCAGATTAGACAGGTGGCTTTCAGTTTTTTCTTTTAAAGCAATTAACCTCTTTTTGAAAAAATAAAATTATAGCCAGTGTCCCAGTATATAGAACAGATAAAAGTAAGGCCACTCCACCCTGTCCCGCCTCCACCATAAACTTGACTCATCCTGCAGAGGTGGAGGTGCACAGTCTGAGAACCACTGAACTAGAAATGACAGCAACAACAACAAAAATGAATCTTTACTGAATGCTCTTCTGTTCTACACAGGGAGTCCCTGCAGGGAGGAAGACGGTTGTGCCTGCAATTCTAAATCTTACCAGAGGCAAAGTGAAGTGTTGTAATAGAGAACCAATGTCTGGAGCCAGACTGCTTGGTTTCCATCCTGACACTCCTGCTTGCTAGCTGTGTGAGGCTGAGCAAGTTTTCTAACATCTCTGTGCCTCAGTTTCCTTAACTTCAAAACGAGGATGATGACGGTCCCACCATCATAGGGATGTTGTGAGGATGGAACAGAGTTATTATATCTAATGTGTTTAAAGTCTGCCGAATACACAGTCTGCGTGGTGGATATGTCAGGTATTATCATTAATTTCCACCTTCTCCCTGGGTTTTTGGTTTTGTTGTTTGCTTTTCTTTTTCAACTTGTCTTTTAGATTCAAGGGGCACATGTGCAGCTTTGTTACCTGGGCGTATTGCATGATGCTGGGATGTTGGGATATGAATGATCCTGTCACTCAGGTACTGAGCATAGTACCCAACAGTTAGGTTTTCTTTTTTTCTTTTTCTTTTTTTTTTTTTTTTTTTTTTTTTGAGACAGGGTCTCATTCTGTCGCCCAGACTGGAGTGCAGTGGCACGATGCCAGCTCACTGCAACTTCTGCTTCCAAGGCTTAAGCGACTCTCCTGCCTCAGCCTCTTGAGTAGCTGGGATTACAGGCATGTGCCACCATGCCCAGCTAATTTCTGTATTTTTAGTAGAGATGGGGGTTTCACCATGTTGGCGAGGCTGGTCTCGAACTCCCAACCTCAAATGATCCACCCGCCTTGGCCTCCCAAAGTGCTAGGATTACAGGCATGAGCCACCGCGCCCAGCAACAGTTAGCTTTTCAACCCTTGTTTCCCTTCCTTCCCTCTTCCCTTTAGTAGTTCAGTGACTATTGTTGTCATCTTTATGTCCGTGAGTACTTCATGTTAGGTCCCATTCATAAGTGAGAACATGCATTGTTTGGTTTACTGTTCTGCATTAACTTCCTTGGGATAAAAGCCTCCAGCTGCATCTATGTTGCTGCATAGGACATGATTTTGTTCTTTTTAATGGCTGCATAGTATTCCATGGTGTGTGCGAACCACATTTCCTTTATCCAGGTCACTCTTGGTGGGTGTCTATGTGATTCCATAACTTTGTTACTGTGAATAGTGCTGCAATGAACACGTGAGTGCATGCGTCTTTTTGGTAGAATGATTTGTTTCCTTTTGGATATATATCCAGTAATGGCTGGGTTGAATGGTAGTTCTGTTTTAAGTTCTTTGAGAAATTTTCAAACTACTTTCCAGAGTGGCTGAATTAATTTACATTCCCACAGACAGTGTATAAACATTCCCTTTTCTCTGCAGCCTCACCAACATCTGTTGTTTTTTGACTTTTTGATAACAGCCATTCTGACCGATGTGAGATGGTATCTCATGGCGGTTTTGATTTGCATTTCTCTGATGATTAGTGATGATGAGCAGTTTTTCATATGTTTGTTGGCCTCTTGTATGTCTTCTTTTGAGAAGCATCTGTTAATGTCTTTTGACAATTTTTTTAAATGGGGCTATCGGTTTTTTGGTTGTTCAATTGTTTAAATTCTGTATAGATTCCACATATTAGACCTTTGTCAGATGCATAGTTTGTGAATATTTTCTCCCATTCTGTAAGTTGTCTGTTTACTCTGCTGATTGTTTATTTAGCTGTGCAGAAGTTCTTTAGTTTAATTAGGTCCCACTTGTCAATTTTTGTTTTTGTTGCAATTGCTTTTTAGGACTTACTCATAAACTCTTTCCCAAGGCCTGTGTTTAGAATGGTGTTTCCTAGGTTTTCTTCTAGGATCATATAGTTTGAGGTCTTACATTGAAATCTTTTTTTTTGAGACAGAGTCTCACTCTGTGGCCCAGGCTGGAGTGCAGTGGCGCGATCTCAGCTCACTGCAAGCTCCGTCTCCTGGGTTCATGCCATTCTCCTGCCTCAGCCTCCCAAGTAGCTGGGACTACAGGCGCCCGCCACCACCCCGGCTAATTTTTTTGTATTTTTAGTAGAGACGGGGTTTCACCGTGTTAGCCAGAATGGTCTCGATCTCCTGACCTCCTGATCCACCCGCCTCGGCCTCCCAAAGTGCTGGGATTACAGGCATGAGCCACCACGCCTGGCCCATTTTGGTTAATTTTTTTACATGGTGAAAGGTAGGAGTCCAGTTTCATTCTTCTGTATATGACTAGCCAGCTATCCCAGTATCATTTAGTGAATAAGGGAGTCCTTTCCCCATTGCTTATTTTTGGCAACTTTGTCAAAGATTAGATGGCTGTAGGTGTGCAGCTTTATTCCTGAGTTCTCTATTCTGTTCCATTGGTCTATGTGTCTGTTTTGTACCAGTACCATACTGTTTTGGTTACGGTAGCCTCTTTTGCTTCTTTCATGTTTGTGAATTAAGTTCCTTTTCTTTTTTTGAGACACGTTCTTACTCTGTTGCCCAGGATGGAATGTAGTAGTGTGATCATGGCTCAGTGGTGCTATCATAGCTCACTGCAGCCTCGATCTCCTGGCTCAAGTGATATACCATCTCAGTCTCCCTAGTAGCTGGGACTATAGGTGCCACCACAGCTGGCTAACTTTTAAATATTTGTTTTGTAAAGGCAGGGTCTTGCTGTGTTTCCCAGGCTGGTCTCAAACTCCTGGCCTCAAGGAATCCTCCCACCTTGGCCTCCCAAAGTGCCTGGATTACAGGTGTGAGCCACCATGTCCCTTTTCCTTGGATGAGTGCTGTTGTCAGAATCTGTGGTTTAGCACTGAATTGGATGACACTTTGTGTGGCTATTGGATGTTATAAAGTCCTATCCTCTTCCCATTTGATCCTGATCCAATTCTTCAGTCTCATGCTCTTGCTGCCACTCCTTTCTTCAATCCATATGTTCTAGAACTGCAAAACTGTTCTCTCCACAAACACACAGGCCACTCTTGCCTATTTACCTTTGCACCTGCTTTCCTCCAACTGAAATGCTTTTTCTCTCCTCCCTCTGCCTGGTGAAGGACTATACTGTCTTCAAGTCTCCACTGAGGCCTCACCTCCTCCAGGAAGCCTTCCTTGGTACCCCACAAATCACGCTGGCTGCCTCCTCTGCCCATACTCCCAGGAATGAACCTCTATTGTAGCATTTATCCCATGCCTCTCTGCTAGATTGTAAGCTCCTTGGAGGCAGGGACTGTGCCTTGTTTATTGTGTACTCAGAATCGACCAAAGTGCTGGCACAAGATGGCTGTTTAGAAAGGGTTGATGAATTAATGAGACATTATTAATCTCATTTAGATCAAATTCTCCTTGAGAGATGACTTTAAGCTCCTAGGCCAGCGGTTTTTAAACTGTGTTCTTCAGAGAACTAGGGGTTCCACTAAGAAGCTGCAGGAGTACCACTGGGGTGGAGTAGGGGCTAAGCAGACAGGACTCCAGCCCCAGCTCCTCACAGTCTTCATAAATCTATTCATATTTGGCCGGGTGCGGTGGCTCACGCCTGTAATCCCAGCACTTTGGGTGGCCGAGGTGGGCGGGTCACAAGGTCAGGAGATCGAGACCATCCTGGCTGACATGGTGAAACCCCATCTCTACTAAAAATACAAAAAAATTAGCCGGGCGTGGTGGCGGGCGCCTGTAGTCCCAGCTACTCCGGAAGCTGAGGTGAGAGAATGGCGTGAACCTGGGAGGCAGAGATTGCAGTGAGCGGAGATCGTGTCACTGCACTCCAGCCTGGGCGACAGAGCAAGACTCTGTCTCGGAAAAAAAAAAATCTATTCATATTTGTCAGATCACTTGGATTCATCTTTGATTTAGAAACAGAGTCACAGGGGTATTATAAATAAGCATCGGGCTTCAAGTCAGAAGGCTCTGGTTTGCTACGTAGCTTAAGCTGGGTGTGCCTGGGCATTCGCCCAGGTCTCTGCCTCTGCAGCAAAACGGGGGTGACCAAACCAGCCCCACAGATTGATTATGAAGAGTAAATGTGGTCCCATGGCATCATCATATATGAGAAACACCTCAATACATTGAGCACGAACGTCAACAATGGTGATTAAATTACAGGCAGTCAGGCAGGGCTGGCCTCTTTCTGACTTGTGATCTGAACCGTGGAGCTCACGTGTTCAGAATGAACATCACCTCACTGGAGTTCAAGGCTCTGCAACTCGTACGTGCTTCAGAATCCCTGGGAAGCTAAACGTTAAGATGTGAGTTCTGGGGCCGGGCGCGGTGGTTCATGCCTGTAATCCCAGCACTTTGGGAGGCTGAGGCAGGCGGATCATGAGGTCAGGAGATCGAGACCATTCTGGCTAACACGGTGAAACCCTGTCTCTACTAAAAATACAAAAAATTAGCTGGGCGTGGTGGCGGGCGCCTGTAGTCCCAGCTACTCGGGAGGCTGAGGCAGGAGAATGTTGTGAACCCGGGAGGCAGAGTTTGCAGTGAGCCGAGATGGTGCCACTGCACTCCAGCCTGGGCGACAGAGCAAGACTCCATCTCAAAAAAAAAAAAAAAAAAAAAAATTGCCTAGGGCTGTTGGGGTGTGGGAGGAGGGAAGGGGAATGACTGCTTAATGAGTATGATGTTTCTCGCTGGGGAGAGGAAAATGGTCTAAAATTGAAGGTGGTAATGGTTGCACATATCTGCGAATATACTAAAAGCCACTTAATACTACACTTAAAGTGGGTAAATTGTATTGTAAGTGACTTATATCTCAATAAAGCTGATATTAAGAAAACGAAAAAGTGCTTCCTGAGAAATTGGGGGACCTCATTGTTTGAGAAACCCTTTTCAGGGGTACAGATTGCCCCTCCCCAGCCTCCAAAGATGGAAACTCCCATATTTCTAGAGCATTTCCTCTGGCAATCCTCACACTGTGCTGGTTAAGTTTCCGGTTAAGGCCCGGGTGCGGTGGGTCACATCTGAAATCCCAGCACTTTGGGAGGCAGCGGCAGGTGAATCACCTGAGGTCAGGAGTTTGAGACCAGCCTGGTCAATGTGGGGAAACCCTGTCTCTACTAAAAATACAAAAATTAGCCAGGCGTGGTGCAAGCGCCTGTAATCCCAGCTCCTCGGGAGGCTGAGGCAGGAGAATCGCTTGAACCTGGGAGACGGAGGTTGCAGTGAGCCGAGATCATGCCACTGCACTCCAGCCTTGGGTGACAGAGCAGGACTCCATTTAAAAAAAATAATAATAATAAAGAAGTTTCTGGTTAAGGATTCCAACCATTTTCTAGAAGGGCAATCCAAATCACAAGACTGTGAAAGGACTTAAGCCACACTCAGTGTCCTACCCCAAACTTTTTTATTTTGATTTTGATTTTTTATCTTTTTATTTTATTTTTTTAATTGAGATGGAGTCTTGCTCTGTCGCCCAGGCTGGAGTGCAGTGGCGCAATCGCGGCTCACTGCAAGCTCCGCCTCCTGGGTTCACGCTATTCTCCTGCCTCAGCCTCTCCGAGTAGCTGGGACTACAGGCGCCCCCACCACGCCTGGCTAATTTTTTGTATTTTTAGTCGAGATGGGGTTTCACCGTGGTCTCGATCTCCTGACCTCGTGATCCGCCCGCCTCGGCCTCCCAAAGTGCTGGGATTACAAGCGTGAGCCACCGTACCCGGCCTTATTTTTATTTTTGAGATGGGGGTCTCACTATGTTGCCCAGGCTGTCTCGAACTCCTAAGCTCAAATGATCCTCCCACCTTGGCCTCTCAAATACTGGGATTACAGGCTTGAGCCACTGTGCTTGGCCCTATCCCAAACTTTTTGATCAGGCCCCCTATCAAAAAAAGGTGAGGATGCATCTCAATATATGATGAGTTATTTGTTTTTTAAATCTACCTAAAAGTTATACTTGTATTAATATGCTGATCCATATGGACATTATAAAATGTGCACACAATTTACACTTAAAAAGATGAGCTTATAAAAGTGATAGGGAAACCTTTTTTGAGGAAGTTATTTGTTTGTTTGTTTTTTGTTTTTGTTTTTTGAGATGGAATCTCACTCTGTCACTCAGGCCGGAGTGCAATGATGTGATCTCAGCTCACTACAACCTCTGCCTCCCAGATTCAGCAATTCTCCTGCCTCAGCCCCTCCTGAGTAGGTGGGATTACAGGTGCACGCCACCATGCCCGGCTAATTTTTGTATTTTTAGTAGAGATGGGGTTTCACCATGTTGGCCAAGCTGGTCTTGAACTCCTGACCTTGTGACCCACCCACCTCGGCCTGCCAAAGTGCTGGGATTACAGGCGTGAGCCACTGCGCCCCACCAAGGGGGTGAGATTTGAGCAGGGATGTGAAGGATGTTTATCTTCACACTTTGCGTTGCCACCTAATCTCGCCCCACAGGGGTCAACTTAAGCCTTCTGCCAAAAGCCCAGAGAGTCCTTGAAATCACTGTAAGAGATCTCTAAGAATAATGAGAGGGCAAATTAGAAATGGTGGGGGGGCGGGGGGGGCAGAACAGACCCATAAAGGAAAAGATAAATGAAGAACAGAGGAGGGAAAAAAGAGTTATAGTAGAAATAAATCAGAAGACCCCATGTTCAAATCTCAATATTTCAAACCTCTAATATTTTATGATTGGTATGAATTTGACCTTGAGTTTAGCCTTCTCATTTGTAAAATGGAGGTAACAATACTTCTCCTATAGGACAGTTCAGAGCATTTACTGAGAGGATGTGCTTAAAGAAAGAGACAAGGGGCCGGGCGCGGTGGCTCACACCTGTAATCCCAACACTTTGGGAGGCCGAGGCGGGTGGATCACAAGGTCAGGAGTTCAAGACCAGCCTGGCCAACATGAAGAAACCACGTCTCTACTAAAAATACAAAAAATTAGCTGGGCACCTGTAATCCCAGCTACTTGGAGGCTGAGGCAGGAGAATCGCTTGAACCCAGGAGGTGGAGGTTGTAGTGAGCCGAGATCTCACCACTGTACTCCAGCCTGGGCAAGCGAGACTCTGCCTCAAAAAAAAAAAAAAAAAAAAAAAAAAAAAGCGACAAGACTGACTGATGATGGGAGAAAGGAACTATTCAGGGAGGGAGATGGGAGACAGAGTGCAGTTTCACAAACATATACTGAATACCCACTGAGTGCCAGAAACTGTGCTAGGCAGGACATACAAAATGGAATTTGACCCCATTGCTACCCTTTGGGGAGCCTGAAGTTTAGCAGGGAGACGAGACATATAAGCAGATAGTCAACCGTACATTCAGGGTTGGAGGCTGGCAGTGGAGGGGAGGGGTATGAGGTGGGGAAGAGGAAGAGGGAGGTGCTCTCCACCAGTCCCTGAAGGCACACTGAGGATAAAGATCCTCCTTCTAGGTGGCAGGTGGCAGCTGTCCTGCCACGTGAGTGTCAGGGGCCCTGGGAATGCCTTTTCAGCATGCCCTGGCTCCACGCAACCCTCCCAAATAAACGCCTTCCAGCCCAGACAAGCAGGAAGTGTGCTGGGCTGGCGGATGGACTGACGCTCGCACATGCAGGCACATGCACAGGAAACTGAACTGCTGGGCAGGTTATTTTCGTTTTTCCCTTTCCACCACCACTGGAGCAATCAGTGACATTCCTTTCCCTCCTAAACACACAGGTTTGTGTACCAGAGCCTGGCAGGAAGTGAAGAAATCCCCTTTGGAAGAGCAGCAGCGGCCTCTATCCCGTGGCCTCCTCCCTCATTCCTGGGGTGGCTGCCTGGGGCCTCCCAGTGCTGTGGCCTTGGTGGCTTTTCTCCTCTTTTTCTGACTGTTCCGGGAAAGGGGAGGGATGGGGGAGAACCTGGTTCAGACCTCTTTTTGGAATCACAGTGCCTTTGGCCCTCCACTGCCTAGCTCTCTCCAGCCTCAGCTCAGTTCTTAGAATGATGTCGTAGCAGGAAGTGGTTGGGGAAAGGGTGGTGAGAGGTGGCAGACACAGGAGGAGAGAAGAGGTTCCCAGGTCCGAGAGAAAACACCAGAGGGGAGAATCCAGAGAGGACTCAGAGGTGAAACTGTGCCTTTTGACAGTGACATTCCTTCCTTCAAAACACTTTTCCTAAGAAAATTAAGAAGGCAAGGACAAGGGACCCAGAATCCTCCCTAAAGCCAGACAATAATTAAATGAGAGCTAAGGGCCGAGGAGGGCAGATCACCTGAGGTCGGGAGTTCGAGACCAGCCTGACCAACATGGAGAAACCCCGTCTCTACTACAAATACAAAATTAGCCGGGCATGGTGGCGCATGCCTGTAATCCCAGCTACTTGGGAGGCTGAGGCAGGAGAATCACTTGAACCCGGGAGGCAGAGGTGGCGGTGAGCGAAGATCGCACCACTGCACTCCAGCCTGGGCAACAAGAGCGAAACTCCGTCTGAAAAAAAAAAAAAGCTAAGGGCCCAGGAATGGCAGAAAAATACCTCCTTGCATCTTAAACTTGTCTGCTTTAATAATTTACTCTACAAGTAATACGTGCTTTCGTGTGTGTTTAAAGCTTGTGAGGCTGGATGATATTTCTGAAACGTTAATTGGTAATTGTTTCCACCTGGTATGTCCTTTCTCTTGAGACCCTTCTCCATTTGAGCCAGTGGGCTGCTCTGTGGCTACTGCTTTGGGAAAGGGACGTAACTGCTCCCTGCCCTCTGCTTTTGTTTCCAAAACCCAAGTTCTTAGGAAAACCAAAACAACTCTTGGCATAGGAGACAACAGATTTGGGAGAAATACGGTATGTAAGAGCAGGGCTTCTCACCTCTGAGATGAGACAAGAATTCCCTGTCTGGGGGAAAGGGGAAAAGTGGAGGTAAATCCACAAAAGGGGATATTTTGGGGGTTGGGGTGGGGTGGGGAGCTGTACCCCACTTCTGGCACGTGAGCCTTGGAATAAGGAACAAGTCCCAAGGAGATTCAGGCAAGGAGGGGACCTGCACATTACTTCCTGGTAGAACTATGTCACTGGAGAAGCAGCAGGACCCTAGAGTGGAAGTGGCTGCTTGAAACGTCCAGGTGGATGGAGCCGCGGAAAGGGTGCCTACTGAGGTATGAGAATAGCAGGAAGATTCCCGTGCATCCAGGAAGAGCACAGAGCAGTGGAGATGCATGGAATGGATCCCTGGCTCAACAGCAACCTGTGTGGACCATCAGCTGAGCACCTAGTGATGGACATCTCCATGAATGCCATTTGGATCAATAACATTGGTGTTTCCTCCCACTGTCTTGGAACTAACTCAAGCTCCAAAAGTCTGGCGCAACTCTAGGAGAAGGGGAGGGAACCCCAAACTGACTTTTGTTCATGCTGGTGCTTAAAATAGAAAATGAACCTTAGAAAAATCCACTTACATTTCTTGCATCTGAGTCCCCCTGGGAAGGTGGATGGAGAACCTGACTCATAAGGTCGCTTATTTAGTGTTGGCAGTTTCCATAAATATTTACACCTGAGTTTTAAACATCCGGCTAGCGCTTCTTTGTGCTAGATCTTTTTTTGGGGTAATAGAGGGATAAAGAAGGAGCAGATGTGTTATAATAGGTGCTCCAAGAAGATTGCAAATACAGCGTTATGGGAGCAGGAGGATGTTGAGAAAGTCTTTCCAGGCCCTGCAAACTATGAGTAAGGGTTTTCTCGGGTTTGAGTCAAGGATTGAGGCACTTCTGATTTGACTGGCTTTGTGAGC
Source organism: Homo sapiens (assembly GCF_000001405.40). NCBI lineage: Eukaryota > Metazoa > Chordata > Mammalia > Primates > Hominidae > Homo > Homo sapiens. Next base: position 32,646,743 of record NC_000022.11, read on the forward strand.
AGAGACTGAGAAACAATGAAACAGTGGAAAGAATGGAGGCAGATATTGCAGAAATACAAGAATAGCAAATGGCAAGGCCCCCTCTCCCTCTGTGGTTCTGTTTTGGATGAGATATTCCAGATGGAGCAGCTGAAGTGAGTGGAGACCTGTTTGGCTTGTGGAAGAGGTTTTGGTTCTGTATGGAGAGTAAAAAGCCATCAGGTTAAGAGACAAGGGCTGGCTCCCCTGAAGCCCCCTGCCTTCGCTGGTTGCTGGGAACCAAGTGAAACTCTCTTGAACTTGAGTCAGCTTGAATACAGGTCTGTGTGTCCCTGTAACTGCCAAAGGCTTGGGGGCTTGTCTGGTCACCTGTTTTATGTGTCTGGGTTTTACCTCTCCTACTTATATTCTATGTCATGAGAAAACTGGCCTTTGGTCTTGGAAGACACCACCCAGAATGCCCCTCTGCATGTCTATGAGTTCCAAATCCAAGGGGGTCAGCAGAGGAGGGACCCAGGGATCTCCAGAAGGCCTCTTGGTGTTCTTTTCTCGGAGCCTACTGTGGGCTCCTCTTCCAAGGCTACAGGCATATGAGGTAGGGACAGAGATCCTGGTGGCATCTGAGATGATGTTTGGTGATGCTTGAAAATAGCATCAACAGACTGAATCATATGCTGAGAAAGTTATTTCCTTTTCAGTGAATTTTCTAGCTTTGAGATTTTTCTTTTTCTTTTTTTTTTTTTGAGACAGGGTCTCACTCTATAGCCCAGGCTGGAGTGCAGCGGTATGATCATGGCTCACTGCAGCCTTGGCCTCCTGAGTTCAAGTGACCCTCCTGCCTCAGACTCCTGAGTAGCTAGGACTACAGATGTGTGCCACTGTTCCCAGCTATTTATTTATTTATTGAGATGGAGTCTTGCTCTGTTGCCCAGGCTGGAGTGCAGTGGCGTGATCTCAGCTCACTGAAACCTCCGCCTCCTGGGTTCAAGCAATTCTTCTGCCTCAGCCTCCGGAGTAGCTGGGATTACAGGTGCGCGCCACCATATCTGGCTAATTTTTGTATTCTTAGTAGAGACAGGGTTCCATCATATTGGCCAGGCTGGTCTCGAACTCCTGACCTTGCAATCCGCCCACCTCGGCCTCCCAAAGTGCTGGGATTACATATTTTTAATATTTTTTTACATTTTTTTTGTTTTTGGTAGAGATGGAGTCTCACTATCTTGTCCAGGCTTATCTTGAACTCCTAGGCACAAGTGATCCTCTCACTTCAGTCTCCCAAGTAGCTGAGACTACAGACACACTTTTAGAAAAGTTTTTGTAGGGATTGGGGGGGTGTCTCACCACATTGCCTAGACTGGTCTCAAACTCCTGGCCTCAAGCAGTCCTGCACACTTCAGCTTCCCAAATTGCTGGGATTACAGGAGCCGCTACACCTGGCTTAGCTTTTGAGACTCTATTAAGGAGAGTCTTAGTTTGGTTCCTGTGCTCTTTCAACACCTCCCCAATATTAGCAAACCTCCCACTTTCCTGGAGAGCTTGGAGCCCATAGCAAGCAAGAGTATCCAGCATGAATTCAATAATATTGCTTTGTTCTTGTGTTTTTTATGGTTATTTTCTTTTGTCAGGAGATACTGGTTTTCCATTTATGGTAGTCATCAGTTTCTTTGAAAATAGGTTTATTGAAGATAAAACTTAAAAATATCAATAATTATATGAATTACAGTATACACAGTACATAAATATGGTAAAAATTGTAAAGGTTGTGACCAACGATTGAAGTTTGGGAAACCCGGACTTAAAGTTTTGGCCCCAGTGAAAATCCTGCCCTTAGTAGTTTAATGGAAAGAGCACAGCATTGGTTAGAAATATCTGCATTTGAGACTTGGCATTGTAAAGCCCTGTTTGGCACATATTAGCTACATGACCATGGGCAGGTTGATTAACCTCTCAAAGCCTCAGTTTCATTAGCTGTAAAATGGGAACGTACTACCTCTTGAGGTTGCTGAAAGATTAAATGACATCACACACACAGAGTATACGCTGAGCTCAGAGCCTGGCTCACAGCAAACAACTAAGATGGACAATTATGATTTTTGTTGTTGTCCAAGAAGCACCTCTTTTACTCTGAGGTGCCACACAACAGTCATTGGCCACTCATACCAATGAATGTGCATTTTACATTTTCTCCCTGCAGGGAGTTTGGATGGGCACAAAGTAAAACAAAGAGGCCCCTGGA